>NC_000003.12:125069210-125220725 GCF_000001405.40 Homo sapiens
ACATGCACACCAAGATGATGCAGCCCGTCTCCACCATGCTTGGTAAAACAAGGTTCTGAAGTGCTTTGTCTCCAGCTCATCAACGTGACCCACAGGGACAGGCCTCATTGCAGTGTGGTTTATTGGACCCCAGTGTGGACCAGTGTGTCTCACCGGCACTAGCAACTGAAGCTCTGGTCTGGGACTCCTGCTGCTCGCTGCAGAGCCTGGAGCTGATGGAGACAGCTAGTCACAGACTCAGGGCAGCCCAAAGCCCTTCCACCTGTGCTTCTCAAGCCTTAACAAATCACCTGGAGAGGGATTGCTTAAATGGAAGGGCCCCAAATCTGCATATTAGCAAGCATCCCAGATGATTTTTTATTTTATCAGTGAGCTGAGGACTACACTTTCAGACATAAGGCTTTACTTCCTCATCTTTGAATGCAGTCATATGATGGTACAAGGAGGTCCCCAACTTCCTTCCTGGACTGTGACTATACGGCAGGGTCCACCCTTATCTCTTATGCTTCCTCCTCATTGCTCATGAGAAAAAGATAATCTGAGGTTGTATTTCTTGGGGTGACATAAGTAATTCTGAAATACATGTGAGGATGTTCCAAGACACTGGGTTTATTCAGAAAAGCAAAGCACCAGTCCAGGGAAAAGCTGATCCAGTGTTCTTCAGCCAATGAGAAAATTTTATGGGTAATCACTCTTCTCAGGACACTTCAGTTGAACCATCAAGTGCAGCCTATTCCAAGACCAGTTTCCTCTCATACTGGCCATCCAAGAGGTCTGTGCCCGATTCTTGCTTCTTCATCCTAGAACACTCTGTTGCTAGCACCTACAAACTGAGCTTCAGGCTGCTAGGGAAGCAGTTGCTGTCATCTAGTATCACAGTTTGTCTGAATCAAGCAAAATAGCTTTGCACACATAGACATTCAATACATACTTAGTGAGTGACGGAACAAATCCATGATGGGTTATACAGGCTGACGGCATGTCAAGAATACTTAAAACCATAAATTGAGATGATTGCTTACAGAAGATACACCTCTACTCCTGTAGATTCAGTTGATTGGGCAAAAAGACCAACATAGATCATGAATAAATGACAGCGTATGAACCTAAACTACAAAGTAATCCACTACACACACACACACACACACACACACACACACAATTTATCAAAATGTATATACAGTCATGTGTCATTCAATGACAAGGATACTTTCTGAGAAATGTATCCTTAGGCAATTGTGTTGTGGTTTGAACATCATAGAGTATACTCACACAAACTCAGAAGGTACTGCCTACTACGCACCAAGGCTGTATGACATAGGCTACAGTTCCTATGTGACAAACCTGTACAGCATGTTACTGCACTGAATAATGTAGACTACTGTAACACAATGGTATTTGTTTATCTAAACATGGAAAAGCTGCAGTAAAAATAAAGTATAAAAGATTTAAAAAGGTACACCTGTACAGGGCGCTTACCGTAAATGGATCTTGTAGGACTGGAAGTTGCTCTGGGTGAGTCAGTGAGTGAGAGGTAGGTGAATGGGAAGGCCTGGGACATTCCTGTGCCTGACTCTGTAGACTTTATGTAGACGTTGTGTTTAGGCTACGCTAAATTTATAAAAGATATTTTTCTTTCTTCAATAACAAATTAACCTTAATGTAACATTTTTACTTTATAAACCTTTAATTTTTTTAACTTTTTGTCTCTTTTGTATTAACATTTAGCTAAAACACAAACACATTGTATAGCTATACAAAAAGATGTTCTTTCTTTATATCCTTTACTTCCTTATTCTATAATTTCTGCTTTTTTCTACTTTTCTACTTTTTTTCTAATTTTCTAATTTTTTTCTACTTTTAAATTTTTTTACTTGTTTTTACTTTTTAAGCTTTTTTGTTAAAAACAAAGATACAAACACACACATTAGATCTACACAGGGTCAGGATTATCACTATCACTGTCTTCCATCTCCACATCTTGCCCCAGTGGCAGGTCTTCAGGGGCAATAATACACATGGAGCTGCCATCTCCTGTAATAACAATGCCTTCTTCTAGAATACCTCCTGAAGGACCTGCCTGAGGCTGTTTTACACTTAACTCTTTTTTTTTAATCTGGAAATACCAGATTAGGTTTACTTTAAATTTTAAAAAGAGATTTTAGCAGATTTATTTAATTTTTCTTTTTTCTACACCACTTCTCTTTTTTAATTAGTAGCAGGTGTACACTCTAAAATAACAATAAAAAGGCTGAGTGTGGTGGCTCACACCTGTAATCCCAGCACTTTGGGAAGCCAAGGCAGGTGGATTACTTGAGGTCAGGAGTTCGAGACCAGCCTGGCCAACATGGTGAAACCCTGTCTCTATTAAAAACACAAAACAAAATTAGCTGGGTGTGGTTGTACACGCCTGTAATCCCAGCTACTTGGGAAGCTGAGGTGGGAGGATCACTTGAACCCAGGAGGCGGAGGTTGTAGTGAGCCAAGATCATGCCACTGCACTCCATCCTGGGTGATAGAGCAAGACTCCATCTCAAAAATGAAAAGAAAAACAAAAAATAAGATAACAATAAAAAGTATAGTATACTAAATATATAAACCAGTAACATGGTTGTTTATTATCAAGTATTATGTACTGTATATAATTGTATTAATATGTGCTATACTTTTATACAACTGGCAGTGAAGTGGGTTTGTTTACACCAGCATCACCACAAGCACGAGTAATGTGTTGTGTTATGACATTACAATGGCTATAACATCACTAGGTGATAGGAATTTTCTTATATAATCTTATGGGACCCCTGTCATATATGTGTTCTGTCATTGACCCAAATGTCATCATGCGGCACATGACTGCATGTAAATGAATGTTGTTCCTTCCAAATCAGCCCCTTGGGAAGCCTCACAGAATTATTCCAGTGACACAGTCAATCCTCAAAATGTGCTGTGTGGGTATCTCATCTTTGGAATTTGCCTCAAGAGTTGGTTTACTTTATGGTCACATCTCATTTTTGACCCAAAAAAGGTGATTTAGCTTGATCAGTCCCCTTATTCCCAGGCTTGGTTCCAAATGATTTCTGGTGCTTCTAGGAATCAAAAGAACTCTCAAAGGATAAAAATTTACCATTCATTAGAATATTCAAAGGCTCTGAAGAGAGTACCAAAAATGGAATCCCAAGCATGATTTGAAGAATGGCAGAATTGTTGGCTGGAGTGTGTGATTCACCACAGGAGACAGAGCTCTGAAGGCACAAACCTAGTCAAGTCAGGAGACTCACTCATTTGCCCTTAATAAGGAACTTCATCCAGCTTTCTCATCCAGCAGCATGGTGGCAGGAACTGGCCAGATGCCCACCAAACTCAGTCCTCTTCTTCCTGAGCACACAGCTGCTCTGTAGCTCCCAGACTGCTTTCAGTTTGACAGATGATATGTCTACTTCTGGCCAACTGAATGAAGGAGAAAGTGACAGGAGCCCTTTCAGCCTTGGCCCCTAAAACCTTTCTGGGTTCCTCCATGTGTCCCTCTTCTCTCACCTGCCAGCTGGTGCTGAGAATTCAGGGGAAGACTCTGGGGTCATAGAAGGTGTTCAAGCCATGCAACTGAAGGAGCCCAGGTCCCTGAATGACAGTGTAAAGAAAAACTCATTCCCTTCTGACTTGCACTGGACTGTAACATGAACTAGGAATAAATTTATAGTGTTCAGTCACAGCAATGTGGGGGCCGTTTGTTATAGCAGCAAGTCTGGCCTGACTGACACAGACACACAAAATTACACTAAGTTGCCTATGTGAGAAGCAGCTTAAGTAGAATAGAAATTGACACTGCCATTTGGAGCATTTATCCTTATGACTTTCAGTTTGGGGTTCATATTTGAAGCCAGTGTTGTTTTCTCCATCGTCAGCCTCTTAATACATATGGTATATGTCACATCGCACAGATCAGCACTCGTCAAGCCCTCCTGCTGGCTGCTGGGGCATGACTGCTAATCCTTTGAAATGCCACCTGCCCTCAGAGCTCCCCAAAGTGAATCTGATGTATACCACATGGCCTGTATTTTAAGCCAGGCTTCACATTTGGTGAGTCCAACCTTCTCTAACAGAAACAAGAAAGTGCACACATGTACACATGCACTGGTGTGTGTTATTTAAAACAAGATACAGCAGAAAAAAAAAAACAGGCTTTCCAATATTTTAGAGACTCTCATTTAGAGAATCACTCTGCACCTTTTAGAAGGTGGCTGTGTCTCCCTTCACGCCAACGAAAGGTGGTGAGTCTGCATCCCCCACTCACCCTTGGCAGGTTGGAGGTTGGGAGCAGGGAGCTGGTGCCAGCCGTGATGCTGCAGAACGGGCTGCATTCCCGGAAGCACAGCCAGCTGGAGACCCCTGATGCTGGTGGGCCTTTCTCACCATCTGCTTTGCCTTCTACTTGAATGTGGCCTTCTTCCCAAGAAGAGTGCCTTATCAAGAGTCAGGGGCTTAAGCCTCTCCTTCCTGCCTCAAGCTGACTAACTGGCATCTGTTGCTGCTGTGAGCCTCCCCAAAGGAGCCCAGGTACATCTCCAAGACACAGGACTGCTGAGCAGTATTTGGTGAGCACAGATTTCCACAGTCCCCCTGCCGATGGAGAAGTGCAAGCAATGTAGAAAAATCTCCAGCCCATGCACTTCCACAGCGGATCCTCCCCTCTTAGATGTCTATGAGGACCTCGAGGGGATAAGACAGAGCAAGGCGTGAGTTGTTTACTCTCAGGTAAGCCACGGTTCAAAAGAACTGGAGAGCAAGGTAGGTTTTAAGTAACATTTCCAGCCAGGTGCAATGACTCACGCCTGTAATCCCAACACTTTGGGAGGATGAGGTAGGTGGATTGCTCGAGCCCAGGAGTTCGAGACCAGCCTGGGCAACAGAGTGAGACCCTGTCTCTACAAGAATAAATTTTTTTTAAAGTTACCTGAGTATGGTAGTGAGTGTCTGTGGTCCCAGCTACTCAGGAGGCTGAGGCAGGAGGATCACTTGAGCTTGGAAGATTGAGGCTGCAGTGAATTATGACTGTGCCACTGCACTCCAGTCTAGGTGACAGGGTGAGCTCCTGTCTCTAAATAAATAAAATAAAATAAAATAAAATAAAAAATTTCCAAAGCTCTGGGAAGGGAGGGAGGAGGCTGGGCAAAGGATTGATATAGGGAAGTGGCTAAATAAATTTGATAGGCTAAGGGGGTGGCTGGGTGGGGCAGTGGGCAGAGCTGAAATGGCAGTTGAGTGGCAGCTCTGCAGCCTCTCCTCTCTCTGATTTGGGCTTGCAGGTTTCCTGGTGCTGGCTAGTGAGGGTGCGCCGCTGTGTCTGTGTCTTACATGATACAGCATGACCTCCTGAAGCAGAACCCCACTGTGCTCCGAAATTCCAGGTGAGCAGGTGCCAAGACACACTGCAGTTTTCATGGCTTTTTGTTTTTTTCCTGTGGTGTTGCCCACACTAAGTGGCATGGAATGAGCAGGGGTGGGAGGAGAACATTCTTGAGATGCTCCTCCACATCCCCCAGCAACACCCCATCTTTATCTCCTCCAAAAAAATGTGTCTCACTTTTTTAGTACTCACAACTCCACGTGGAGGAAGGTAGGATTATAATTCCCATGTTACAGAGAAGGAAACCAAAGCTCAGAGATGAAGAAGGCTGCCCGAGGCCACAGAGCTAGTAAGTGACAGAGCCAAGGTGGAAACAGAGATTTTCTTTCCCAATTCCCATGAATTTGCAGCCACACCAACCTCCTTCTCAGGTGACCTCACTTAAAAGTAAAAGGCAGGAAGAAGAGGCCTGGGTTACAGGTAGGCCTGCCCTCTCCTGCCTGGGGCCTTCTGCCCCATGTGTCTTTGTCCATCTCATTCTCTTGGTTCAGAAGCCTTGCCATGTCCTCTCACCAACCTGGTTTGAAACTCGCTTCCTCCAAGAAGTCTCCTGGGCTTCTTCCTCACTGGTTGTCTCCCCAGCGCTTGTGGATTCATCTTGTCACATGTTGCTTGGCTGCATGCTGTATGCTTTGTGGTTACGCTCCAGCCATTTCCCGCATGCCCCCAAGTCACATATGGCAGGCAGAAGGATGCCCCTCCAAAGACGGTCTGGTCCTAATCCCCAAAACCTGTGAAGATGTCTCTTACAGGACAAAAGGGACTGTGCAGCTATGATTAAATTAAGGATCTTGAGAGGGGAGACTGTGCTGGATTATCCAGGCAGGCCCGATCTAATCACAAGGGTCCTTCAAAGCAGAAGAGGAAGGCAGGAGAGCCAGAGAAGGAGGTGAGATGGCAGAAGCAGAGGCCAGAGGAGATGTGCTTGCTGCCTGCTGGAGCTGAAGATGCAACAGCCTCGATCAAGGAAAGCAGACACTTCTAGAAGCTGGAAAAAGAAAGGAGCAGACTACCCCACAGAGCCTGCAGCAGGAGCCCAGCTCTGCCGCCTTGATTCTAGCCAGTGAGACCCATTTCAGCCTTCTGACCTCTAGAACTGTAAGATAACAAATCTATGTTGCTTTAAGCCACTAAACGTGTGCAAATTTATTGTGGCAGCCACAGGAAAGTAACACTTCAGGGCTGGGTGTACTGTTCAATTTGTTCCTGTCTCTACTCTCCCCCAAGACCACTTCCACAGGCCCTCAGTGCATACAGTGCACTGGAGCTCAGCATACAGTGGAGGCTCTGAGAACTGCAAGTGACTGCCCCCTGCCCCTCCAGGGGTCTGGGCTGGCTCCTCGGCCTCTCCTCCCACTGGCCTAATATCAGGGGTGGAAAGCCCCCTGCTGGCCCTCCCCCAATTCTCCAGTGTATCAAGGAGGGCAGAAACAGGAACCAACGAATGTGTCAGGTAAAGAGGAGATCAGAGGCTGGATTTTTCCTGATCCAGGATCATGCAAATTCATTTAAAAAATAAAACCCCGTAACATTTAGAGGATTGATTTTTGCTATCACTCTCCGGCCTTCCCTCCTCATTCTCTAGGCACACAGGGTGGCCTGCAAGCCCCTTCAGGATCCGACTTAGCCTACCTCTCCTGCCTCAGGCTGCTGCAGGCCATAGGCTCCTGAAAGCCTAAATTATGGCCAGTCCCCATACACTGTGTCTCATCTCCTTGCCTTTGATCACGCTGTCCCTTCTGTGTAGATGCCCAGCCGTCCTCTCTGCAGCTAACTGCTTGAGTGCGGGTCATTTACCTCCTCCCCAGGGAGCCCTCCCTGACCATTGTCAGAGTGGGCTAGGGGCTCCTTTGCCCATCCATGGACCCTGGCTCTGCCACTGTCTCTGCTGTCACCACCACTGGGCTCCTTTCTTCAGTCCTCACTTCCCTCTACTCATGGAAAGGATGGAACTCCCATCCAACTCCCTTCCTCCATGACAAAGAAGAGGGAACACTCTGCCCCCTGCTCCACCTCTGTCGTCCTGTATTTGCTCCTCCCCATGGTGGGGGGCAATCTGATTGGCCAGTGCCTGGACCACCCTGCATTGGTAGGCAGGGCCCTGAGTTGAAAGGTAATGTGTAGCCACCACATGGTCTCTGTCCATCTGTTACTGGGTGACAAGACCAGCTGCCCTTGCCACCCAGATGGGCATTCTTTCTCTTGGTGCCAGCTTCTCATCCATCCTCATGGGGTCTCTGGATTCTTAGACTTAAGAGGAATAAAGGTAGACACTAGAGGACTTGTGTCAATCCTCTGACCTTGACTGCATTCTCCACTACAGCTCTTAACAAAAGCTTTGCACCCTCGTCCTGGTATTAATACATTAACAGACACATTGTTTCCCATCTCCTCAGTCAGAAACCTGGAGAGAAGGAAGGATGATGGAATCCTGGACCTCAAACTCCCACACTAATTTATAATTGTGCAGGATACCCCCTATTATATAGGTGAGAGGACTTGTTAGCATGACTCCTGGAGACAGCTGAGAAAATCACTGCTGTTCTGGTTCCTCACCTGAGTTTAAGAATGCTCTGGCATTGGGCTGTACTCATCCTTAAGGTCTGAGGTTGGTGGCTGGGGAGTCTGCTTATACCTGCATGGCCTGTGATCATATTTTTACATGATAGAGCTCTGAGACTGGTGAGGTGTACCTGACTCTGATGAGGTGGTTTCAGACACCCATCTACAAAGTTATGAGAACAGTTGCTCCAGCCATGGATGGATGGGTGGATGGATTGATGGATGGATGGCTGGGTAGGTCAATGGGTAGGTGTGTGGGCAGGTAGATGGATCATTGGATGGATCAATCTATAGACTGGTCTGAAGGGAGACCTTCATGGGCCCAGAAGGTCTGATACAACCTTCACTCATTCAGACATTATCACCTACAACTGTGGACTTCTTGGTAAAATTCAGGCCAGGAACCTGCCCCTCTCCCTATCTTAGAAAATGTTGCTGGTCTCACTGTCACATATACCGGCTGTACTGACATTTTGGGGGCATCCTTTAGATAAGAATGATCCAGTGACATGCATGTTTTGTCTGACAACCTGTACTTACCACTGACCTCTGTCAATATGCACGTTATTTATAATCCCTCTTAATGTGCCACCTCAGATCCTCTCTGCTCCACCTGTCTCTGGGGCAAGTCCACTTGTTCCATCTCAGCCGCCACTGGAACAACCAGTTCTGGTGGGCTGCAGCCAGTGTCTTCTTGCTGCAGCCTGCTAAGCACTCACGTCGTGCAGGTCACAATGGCAGGGTTGCTGGTGCCCACCCAGAGCTAACTTTTGGTTATGGGAAGCAGAAGCCAGTAGATGAATTCTGATCCCTTCCTACCCCTAGGGTTCCTGTGGTTTCTCAGCAGAGTCCTTTGAGGTGAAGCATCATTTGCATATGATACTAAGTTGTTGCTAGCCCTCCTCCCCTGCTTTACCCCTCTTTCCTCTCATCCTGCTTCTGTGGCTGCACTCTCCAATCAAGGGGTAGCTCATAAGCTTCCGCTTTCTGAGAAACCCAGGCTAAGACCTGGTGTTACTATTACTATTTTCACAATCTAGCTGGAGTGAAATACAAGATTTTTGGACCTCATTAGAAAGTCAGCCTGTGTAGCACCTGCCTCCTACACTAGACCGAGCCATTCATTTTGGCGACCCCAATGTGGAAAATAATGTTTGAATTCTTTATCATGCTCCATTCTTCTCTTATTCTTTTCCATAAAATCAATCACATTAGGAAGGTGCTCTTCCTGGATACTTGGATATTCTACTGCATTTGGTTTTTAACCTTGGTACCATCTTTTTCAAACTGCTGGTTTTCAAACTCAGTACTATCCTTTTCAGAGTGGTTACTTTCTTAAGTGTATGATTCAATGAGTTTAATAAGTGGATATAATCATAAAACCACCACCGAAATCAAGTTACAGAATAATTTCCCCAGCCAGGCGCAATGGCTCATGCTTGTAATCCCAGCACTTTGGAAGGCTGAGGCGGGAGGATCACTTGAGGTCATGAGTTCAAGACCAGCCTGGCCAACATGGCGAAACCCTGTCTCCACTAAAAACACAAAAATTAGCTGGGTTTGGTGGCACATACCTGTAATGCCAGCTACTTGGGAGGCTGAGGCAGGAGAATCACTTGAACCCGTGAGGCGGAGGTCGCAGTGAGCCGAGATCGCACCACTACACTCCAGCCTGGGTGACAGAGCGAGACTCCATTTCAAAAAAAAAAAAAAAGAAGAAGAAGAAGAATTTCCTCACCACAAAAAGTTGTGTCATGCCCTTGGCAATCGACCCCCTCCCAGACCCAGACCCAGCCTTCTGTCATTGTGCTACTGCCTTTCCTGGAGGTCAAACAAATAAAACTTCAAGTATTTCATCTTTTGTGCCTGGCTTCCTTTACTTACCCAGTGCTTTAAAATTCAGCTACATGGTTTCCTGTGTCATTACTTTAATACTCACTAGGATTCCATTGCGTGGATGCAACAGGATGTTGATCCATTCTTGTCAATAGAGAGTTGGGTCATTTCTACTTTCTGGTTATTTTACATAAAGCTACAATAACGTTGCTTGTTACCTCTGAACTTGACTGGAGCTGGACTCCCAGGCAGTCCTGGATAGAGATGAGCCTGGGGGCAGGAAAGGCCGGGACCTGAAGACAACTGGCAGCCACAGGACTAGAGCTCCACCTTCTTTTTGAAAAGATTTCTCTGGCTGCCACACAAAAATGATACCTTGGCCAGGGTGGCATCAACATGAAAGGGGATATATTTGGCACTACAGCAATTCCAGTTGCTCTTCCAGCCCTCAGCCTCCAGGTCCACTCAGTGACAATGAGCAAAAATAGACATATTAAGATTAGTCATGGCCGGGTGGGGTGGCTCATACCTGTAATCCCAGCACTTTGTGAGGCTGAGGCAGGAGGACTACTTGAGCCTAGAAATTCGAGACCAGCATGACAACATGGCAAAATCCCATCTTTACAAAAATTACAAAGATTAGCTGGGTACGCTGGTGCACTCCCAGCTACTTGGGAGGCTGAGGTGGGAGGATGGCTGGAGCCCAGGAGGTTGAGGCTGCAGTGAGCTGTGATTGCACCACTGTACTCCAGCCTGGGTGACAGAGTAAGATCATGTTTCAAAGGAAAAAAAAAAAAAGATTAGTCATAACAGCACAAAAGGAAAGGAGCAGACAAGATAAGGATCTGTCCACTCAAAAGTCAGGGCCGATTGCTGTGATTACCTTAAGCCCTCAGGACACAGATTTGAGGACTGACCCAGAGGTCTTCAAATGGAGAGAATCAAGCTTAGTCTTGATGGACACCATCAGAGATGTCACCTTTAAGCATTTATCAGAGTTACCAGTTTACATTTTTGTAATTTTTTTAGAAATGCTTGTTTCCTAGTAGAATATCATTCCACTTGTATCCTACAGTGAGTGACATCTGATTACTGGTTTCTAGACTTTTGAGACCAGTCTCCTAGGGAGGTGCTGGAGACAACCTCTTCTCAACACTGCTGAGGAGTGTGGGACAACCTCTGTAAACAAGAGACCTTATTCTTGCTGCTCCAGGAACTACTGGAGGCTGTCACGACAACTATGGTCCCTCAGGCTGAGCTCTAGGCCCAACATGTAGTCATGATATCTAGGCCACAAGACTTGGCCCACAGAGCTCTGTACTCTTTCCAGGAAGCTCTTGGGCAACAATGCAAATGAGACCATACCTGAATTTTGACCTATTCCTTACCATTCTGCTGTCCTTTCTGAAGCAAAGTCAGGACTCCCCACAAAAGCCTTCCCTTCTCTATTAAACTATCACCAGTAAATGACTGTGACAAAGCACCAACTGAAGCACACGCCTTGGGAGCACAGGTGGCTCCTGCACTTGGTGCTTAAGGCGAGCAGTGCCTGATACTGTTCTCAATCCATCCCATGCAATGAGCAGGAACCCCAGGATTGAAGTGGCTTAAACTCTTTGTCACACAATCCAGGGCAGTGTAAGGCAGGCAACTCCTGGGCTAGAAGAGTTGGAAACTCGATGAGTCTCATACAGGCATCATGTGTGGGGCCAACAATATCCATGAGAAAGGGCAACCATCTCTGGAAGCCCTGAGACCCCATCTCAGGTGCTCTTGGCCAAGGTTAGATCATGTCCTTACCTAATCCATCAATGGGGAGGCAATGAGGGCTCCCAAAGGGCTTAAACAGAGTGGTTACTTTTTTAGCTTGTTATGTAGAATTCAAAAAAGCAGATTCAGTAAAGGTTCTGTGATAGGCTGAAAAAGGGCCCCCCAAAAGACCCACGTCCTATTCCCTGGAACCTGTGAATGTTTCCTCTTTTGGCAAAGCGTTTGCAGATGTGATTAAAGTACAGCTCTTGAGATGTGGAGAGGATCCTGGATTATCTGGGTGGTCCCTGAATGCAATCACATGTATCCTTACAGAAAGGAGACAGAGGTAGACTTCATATACACAGAGGAGAGGGTGATGTAAAGATGGAACAGAGAGATTTGAAAATGTTGGCTTTAAAGATTTGGGTGATGTGATCACAAGCCACCAGAAGCTGGAAGAGGCAGGGAATAAATCCCTCGTGGAGCCTCTGAAGGGAGCTCGGCCCTGCTGACACCTTGAATTAACCTAAGTGTTACTGATTTCAGATGTCTGGCCTCCAGAACTGTGAAAGAATACATTTCTGTTGTTTTTAAGCCATCCGATTTATGTAATTTGGTATAGTAGCCACAGGAAACTAGAACAGCTTCTTCTTAAAAAGCGCCTGGGTAATATACCAAAAAAATTAGCCAGGCGTGGTGGTGTGTACCTGTAGTCTCAGCTACTTAGGAAGCTGAAGTGAGAGGATCACTTGAACCTAGGAGGTGGAGGCTGCAGTGAGCTATGATCATGCCACTGCACTCCGGTTTGGATGACAGAGTGAGACCCTGTCTCAAAAATAAATAAAAAGGTCCTCCAAGGTCACCCAACTTAGCCCTTCATAGCTACAACCTTTTTCAGCATTTCTCCTTCCTACATGCCTACTGCCAACTCAGACTCTGCTTTCTAATGATGCTCAGAAATCTGGTATTTAACTAAAGCCAGATTGTGAGAACAGTAATAATAAATGAAACCTCATCTTCCAGGAGAGAACATTAGGATCTAGCTGACCCTTCATCCTGACCTTCCCAGCCCTCACCCACACTAAGCCCCTTCCATTCAACAGCTCAGCATTTCTCAAAATGCGGTCCAAGGACTGCCTGCATTGAATCACCTGAGGCACTTGTTAAAGATGTAAAGTCTAGGACTCCATCTCAGACTTGCCAAATAAAAAGTTTAGGGGTGAGATGCAGAAATCTGCACTTTTTTTTTTTTGAGACAGAGTTTCACTCTTGTTGCCCAGGCTGGAGTGCAGTGGTGTGACCTCGGCTCACTGCAACCTCTGCCTCCCAGATTCAAGCGATTCTCCTGCCTCAACCTCCCAAGTAGCTGGGATTACAGGTGCCCGCCATCACATCCAGCTAATTTTTTGTATTTTTAGTAGAGACGGGGTTTCATCATGTTGGCCAGGCAGGTCTCGAACTCCTGACCTCAAGTGATCCACCCGTCTCAGCCTCCCAAAGTGCTGGGATTACCGGCGTGAACCACCAAGCCCAGCCTGAAATCTGCACTTTTGACAAGCATCCCAGGTGATTGTTAGCCCACTGATTCATGAGAACCTCCACTATAGAAGAAGGAGCCAGAAGTGATCCAACAGTACTTTCCTCCATGGCTTGATGGCGAAGCCTCTGACCCTGGGCCAAGTGCTAAACTTTTCTGGGGAAAGCTACTGCCACGGCCCCCGGTACTGGGTGCTTGTGATGAATGTCAGGCAGAGCTCATAAGGAAACCAAAAGAGTCCTGTCCCCTCATGCCTTTCATGTTGCAAAACAGCTGCGAAGGCATTCCAGGAGTTGAGGACCACAAATTCTTTTGAGAATATGAGTCACCATTAGGCAATTCATGTTAATTCTTTAATTAAAAAGACCCTCACTAAACAATAATAGTTTACAAATGCATGTACCTTTTGATCCTGCAATTCCACTTTTGGGAATTTATCCTAGAGATACACTTTATGCTTGCACATTTGTACAAGATTATTCACTGCAGAGCTGATTGTCATTGCAAAAGATTGGAAAGAATCCAAATGCTCATCATTGTGGAACTGGCGAAATAAATTATAACACATTTATACAATGAAAAAAATGAACAAATGGCATATGAATTGATATGAAATGTCTCCAAGATAGATTGTTAAGGGAAAAAAGCAAGGTGCAGAACATGTGTATAACGTGCTAACTTTTGTGTATAAAGAGAGAATGTGAGACTCTACATTCCCATTTGCTTGTATATCCATAAAGAAATGCTGGATGTACGGATGAGAATAGTGGTTACCTCTAGGCCAGGGTAGACAGGAACTGAGCAGGTGGAGAATAAGGATTGGAGGGAGACTTTTCACTCTATATATCTTTTGGGTGTGGAAACATGTGAGTGTATTATTTATTTTTGAATAAATAATACAATAAAATATAAAACATACACTTATTGTGGCCCTCTGCACAAGCAATCTGGTTGTGCAGAGTCTTGGTGTCCCCTGCTAGTCTTAGTACCTGTATAGAGCTCTTCAGACTGGGTGTCGTGTTGCAGAGGCTAGCACCATTCCTGATGTCACCCTGGGTGAGACGTGGTCCTCAGAATCCAGATTTCCTTTTTTGTCTTTTTCCTTCTTCCACATGTTCTAAGAAAACATAGATTTCTGGCCAGGCATGGTGGCTCACGCCTGTAATCCCAGTACTTTGGGAGGCTGAGACGGGTGGATCACGAGGTCAGGAGTTCGAGACCAGCCTGGCCAACATGGTGAAACCCTGTCTCCAGTAAAAATACAAAAAATAGCTGGGTGTGGTGGTGCATGCCTATAATCCCAGCTACTCAGGAGGCTGAGGCAGGAGAATTGCTTGAACTCGGGAAGCAGAGGTTGCAGTGAGCCAAGATTGTGCCACTGGACTCCAGCCTGGGTGACAGGGCGAGACTCTGTCTCAAAAAAAAAAAAAAAGGGAAAAGAAAATGTAGATTTCCATTGTCCAAAGTGACAGCGGGAGGATGGGTCTTGAGTTTCTCAGGTTGGAGAAGCAGCTCCACGAAGGTCCTGAGCTTGGGTCCACTGTACATGGGACAGCTCCAAAAGAGGAAGGTCCCAGCACTGCATCTAGTAGTGAGGCATCAGCTGCTCCCGGTTCACGAGGGAGGAGTGGTGGTAGCGATCCCGAGTGGCGAAGTCTGCATTCTCCTGGGTGAGCTGAGTCATCTCCATGTCAACCTTAGCCAGGGACGGCGCCAAGATGATCTGCTCCTGAGGGGACCGCAAGCTCCTGCAGTGAGAGAGACACAGAGGATGGTGAGAAGGACAGAACAGAGACTGAACAGTAGAGGTGAGTCTACTGGGCATAAAGAAATTATCTGTAAACACACATGTATTTAAATGTTTAAAACATAATTCTTGAAAGGTATATGTACAGGTATATATGAACTCAAAGCATGAGAAATACAAAGTATCAAATAAAATAAAAAGAGACAGAGAGAGTGATATTTACCCTCCCTAAGTAGAAAAGTATAAAGCTGTACCTACCTGATAGGAAATAACCAACAAAGAGAGGTTTTGCCCTCCAAATGGTATCATGTTGGGGCTCTGTAGCTTTTCTTTGCCTTTTTTTTTGTCAAAAATAATGGAATGGAGAGGCTGGAAAATTGAGAAGAGCAGAAAGAGAAAATTCTCGTAGGTCTATTGAAAAGAAAGTTGAATAAGGAGTGATTTCAAGAGCTAAGGCTCACACAGCAAGCAGCTAAGAGGGACTGCAAAGGCTTTTGACACCAAGGTGGCCTCAGGTGAAGAGCAAGTCCCATATGGATCCCACTGTCACTGGAGTCTCTGCATACAGTTTCGGTTGGAATAAACTGGGAAAGAAAAATGTTAGGGATGCATAGGGAAAGTGCTAAGAGGAAGAAAGGAGTGAGGAAAGCTCAGGCTGGCTGTCCAGGCAGCTGCTACGGAAGGCAGACCCAGTCACAGCTCCATCCCTAATCAGCTAGGTGGCCTCCAGAAGCCTCTTTACCTTCTTGTGTCTCTATTTTCTCATCTTCCCGGGTCTCTTCCAGTTCCTATAGTCTGTGTTAGGTCTGTAAGTCATACCTTAGACATGGATTTCCTCTTAAAATTTTTACTCTAAAAGAATCATCTACTTTATGAGTAATAAGTTTCAATTGTTTGAATATGGAATACATTTGAGAGTTGCGAAAAGGTAGAAATCTAATGTTATTGATCTGTGGAACTTAAACAGAAAGTTTCAACGGACTCTGGCCAAATGTCCTGCTATAGAAGTTCAGATCACATGACTATGGCATTACAGCCAGTTGTTGAGAACATGTATAAATCATATAGGTCTCTGAGGGTTCTTGAGAACTGAATTAACTTCTATAAAGGCTGAATCTCCAAAAAGTTTAGGAGGTGACAAAAATGTCACACCAGTCAACATGTAAGTGTTTTTGCTAATGCTTTTGTTTTGATTTTTTAGGTGAAACCATTACATTCTTCTGAGTCTGGAGAAGTAAAATACTTCACTCTCTAGTCTAGAATGACTTTCAAATCCTCATTTGGACAGTTGCTAGTGCTTCAAGAAAGAAAGCCTTCTCAATGACAGGCTCAACTTCACATAGTTCATGGGAATTGTAGGCATAACAGAGGAAGTAACCTAGCCAAATTCTTCTGCCAAAACACACCCTACATTCTTCTTCTTCTTAGGTTTTGAAGAGCATTTTGGGGGTTATAGTTGGGGACTGGGAGGGGAACTCAAAACTACAAAGCAGAAACACAGCTACCAATCTCTATTTTTATTTTTTATCTTATTTTAATTATTTGAGACAGAGTCTCATTCTATTGCCCAGGCTGGAGTGCAGTGGTTGATCTCAGCTTACTGCAACCTCTGCCTCCCAGGTTCAAGCAATTCTCATGCCTCAGCCTCCCAAGTAGCTGGGATTACAGGTGTGCACCACCACACCCGGCTAACTTTTGTATTTTTAGTAGAGATGGTGTTTTGCCATGTTGCCGAGGCTGGTCTCAAACTCCTGGCCTAAGTGATCGGCCTGCCTCAGCCTCCCAAAGTGCTGGGATTACAGGTATGAGCCAGTGCATCTGACCAATCTCTATTTTAAAATAAATCACCATTTTTTTTTCTTTTTTTTTTTGAGACAAGGTCTCACTCTATTGCTCAGACTGGAGCGCAATGGTGCGATCTCAGCTTACTGAAACCTCCGCCTCCCGGGTTCAAGTGATTCTCCTGCCTCAGCCTCCTCAGTACCTGGGACTATAGGCACCTGCCACATGCCTGGTGACAGGGTTTTGCCATGTTGACCAGGCTGGTCTTGAAATCCTGACCTCAGGTGATCTACCCGCCTCAGCCTCTCAAAGTCCTGGGGTTACATGTGTGAGCCACTGCGCCCAGCCTTTCTTGGTTCTTTCAACCTCCTGAATAACCATCCCAAAATATCGCCCAGCAGCCATGGTAAGGCCAATAAGTTTGATGTTGACTTAGCTGAGGCCTCTGCTCCCCACCTCACAGCCCACAGAGCCTGGTGTTTGTGTTATGAATGGTGTGGACTGATTCTACTCCAACCAAAGTACTGTCCTTTTCTAAGAATAATCTCCCCCTAGTACATTCTTCTTTCTACATAGCACTGCTGTGACCTCCAAGGTGAAATCCTAGGAATTCAGAGTACAACATAAGGACTGGTGACCTCCTATGGCATTTTTAGGCTTTAAAACCAGAAATGACTAAAAATATTCCTGTAAATCAGGCAAGGCAAAAAAATAGTCTCACCCACACACCACTTGCAGCTCCAGAATCTGTAGGCAGCTTTTACACAGAATCTATTTCCATTTAAACTCTACTCTTTCTCAGGACTGGGTTGTAGGGGAGAAGAGATCAGTGAAGAAATGTTGTGACCTGGCTCACCCAACCTTGTGCATCGGACAGGACAAGAGGCAGAAAGATCACTCACCCTCTCTGCAGCTCCACATGAGACATTGAGACCAGCTGGCCCAAGTAAGCAGATGACAGGGTGCTCCCCATGCACCCCAGCCTCCATCCCTGGGCCCTGTCCCTGCTGGTGTCTGTAGCCCTTGCTGCTGCTTCTTGTCATCCCAAGCTCCAGCACGAAGGCTTTATTTCTTGTGCCATCTTGAATAGATTGGCAATTATTTGTGAAGAGTTGTCTTAAATAGGATTCTTGGGAATGCAGAGTGTTTAATGGGCATGGTGATGATAGCACAGCAACGTGAATGTCCTTAATGCCACTGAACTGCACACTGCACGTAAACATGGCTAAGATGGTACATCTCACGTTACATGTATTTCACTTTTTTTTTTTTTTTTTTTGAGATGGAGTCTCACTTTGTCAACTAGACTGGAGTTCAGTGGCACGATCCCGGCTCACAGTAACCTCTGCCTCTCGGGTTCAAGCGATTCTCCTGCCTCAGCCTCCCTAGAAGTTGGAATTACAGGCACGCCACCATGCCCAACTAATTTTTGTAGTTTTAGTAGAGATGGGGTTTCACTATGTTAGCCAGGCTGGTCTTGAACTCCTGACCTCAGGTGATCTGCCCACCTTGGCCTCCCAAAGTGCTGAGATTACAGGCGTAAGCCACCACGCCCAGCCCTATTTTACCATAATTTTTAAAATGAGGAGAAAAAAGGATTATGAAGTTACATCTGGGATCAATGGGAAAGGATCCCATGATCCACTAGCAATGTCTGAACATGCAGGGTGGAAATATTAGCAAGTACAACCCGGACATCTAGAGTCTCAAAAACAAACCAACAAAATGCAACCAAATGAACACTCGGTTGGGTTCTGCCTGGATTTTCCTAGCCTGCAGCTCTAGCTCCTCACTGATATTGAAAGGGGACAGAGGGTGGGTGTAATTCCCCAGAATCCCAGGGCCTTAAAAGGTAAGAAGCAGTGATACTGCAAGAGTGGAGGAGAAGGAGTGAGATTAGGGCACATGTGAAATATACCCTCTCTATGAGGCTTCTATTTCTCAGGAAAGTTTTTTTTCTCCTTTCCTGTATATCTGACCATAGAGGTCCCACAGAAATCCTCCAGGATCTCCACTTTATTTCTATACTTGGCCTCTGCACTGTCCCCAACCCAGTCATGTCAACTACCTCTGACTCAGATGGAAGAATGTGCTTCCTGGCGTTACATTTCCCTTGGGCTTTAATCTTGTGTGTGATTATGCATTGATGTGAATGTGTCTTAGACTGTAAACTCACTGAGAGTAGTGACTTATCACCCCAGCAACCAGATTCTAAATAAAGCCTCTGTTCTTGATGACTGAGGATAAGAAGGGAAGAGGACATGAGCCTAGAGGAAGCTTCTGATGAGCCGAATCTGGGGGCCGAGTGTGGTGGAGTGCACGCAGGAGCAACATCTGAGTCTCCCGGAGGTGCCCAGTTGTTAGGTTCCCATGCCACAATCCAGGCCCAAGCCCAGCCAGGAATGGGACACCCTTGGCACCTCCCAGGACTCTGGACACTCATCCATTCTGGTACTGGCTCCAAATTGGCACAGACCTGCAGGAGGGGAGCAAGAGAGACCTCATCCACCGGAAAAAGCTGAAGTTGGAGGCTGATCCTGCAGGGAAGACATATACATAACCATTTTTGAAGGTTCTACATAAGGCATCTAGAAGCTCAGTTTTAATAGGGTGAATGCAAACCCCAATACACACACACGCACAGAATTAACACAAATGTTTTCCTTTTTCAGTCTAAACAAATAATTTTCATTGTAATCTTCCATGACAGCAGCCTACTAAGGACTTTTACTCATGTGAATCCTTCAAAAGTTTATTTCCAAACTCCAAAATCACTCCCAAAAAACTGGATAAAGTGCTATAAAGACAAATGCAGAGACTTGCTAACTTTAGTCTTAAGAATTAAAAAACTTTGATAAATTTTTTAAGATTCATACTGACAAGTGTTGAATACACGCCATAAAATTTTCTACTAGACCATACACTGAGAATTGGGAACATGTCTTTTTCATCCTTATAATCATCACAGTACCTCACAGGATCTGGCACTTAAGAATTTTTTTAACAGGTGTTAAGTGAATCAAATAGTTCCACATGTAGAAATGTTAGAGCTGAAGTTTGAAGTGACATTGTTGTTGATTCTAGCCAAATAATCCTGACATCAAACACACAGATTTGAATAGGGTTTATCAATTGAAAAAAATCCATTCCTCCTTTGGTGTAGGTTTAAAAAAATTCACATAGTAAATTATATATAACTTTAGAGAAACAAATCAAATGTGATTTTAGAAAATGCTTTCCTAAATTATACATACATATGATTGAAAATTGATTGATTAGATAATGTTCAATATATGATCAGGAAAATAGCATTATTTTAAGAGGCTTATGTTAAAATCTCCACAAATATCAACAGTATGCAGCTGATAACCTGTTTCCTCAATATCATTTAGGCCCTTATGGCTAAAGGGAAGATAAATTTTAGATCTGCATTTGCAATTGCAAAGAGAAGATTTCTAATACATTTTGAGATTGTCAGAAGGAAGAAAATAAACATATTTTATTAACTCACCCTACTTAAGTGTGATAATTTAGATTCTAAATTATTTGAATTTTAGATGGACATTGGCCTGAAATTTGATTTCATGTTTTCCTATGAATAGATTTCTAGGAAATAATTGAAATTTCTTAAGATCAAACTACTTTTTAAGAAATAAAGAAGCAATCACTGAAGTAATCACTGTTAATTAAAATATATTCTATCCATGAAGTCAGCTAACATAAGGACCTCTTCTTAACATTACTGTTTTCTAAATCATTATTTTTAATACACACGACTTAAAATGTTTGAAGTGCATTTCTTTCAAAGTGTTTGAAGTGCATCAGACTATTCTAATTCTGAAGAACCTTTTTCTCTTTTTTTTTTTTTTTTGTGAGTCGGAGTCTCACTCTGTTGCCCAGGCTGGAGTGCAATGGCTTGATCTCGGCTCACTGCAACCTCTGCCTACTGGGCTCTTACTTTGGGTTTAATTTGCTCTTCTTTTTCTAGTTTCTTAAGTTGGATGTTGGGATCACTGATTTGCAAATGATCTTCTTTTCTAACGTAAGCATTTGATGCTATAAATTTTCCTTAGCTACATCCCACAATTTTGCTGTTCCATTTTCACCTTTATTCAGTTCAAAATACTTTGTAATTTCACTCTGCTTTCTTCTTTGAATCATGGATTATTTATTTTCTGTATTTTAATTAGGGTTATGTAATATTCTTTAGTTTCTAAATATTTGGGGATTTTCTTTTCTTTTTTTAATTTTTAATTTAGGAGACAGAGTCTTGTTATTTTGCCCAGGCTGGCCTCAAACTCCTGGCCTCAAGCAATTCTCCTGCCTTAGCCCTCCAAGTAGCTAAGACAACAGGTGTGTGCGAACTGTGCCTGGCTTATTCAAGGATTTTCTGATATCTTTCTGTTATTTATTTCTAATTATTCCCCCTCTGGTCAGAGAGCATACTCTGTTCTTGAATTGACTTGAATACTTTTAAATTTATTGAAATATTTTTTATGTACTAGAATATAGTCTCTCCTGGTAAATGTTTCATGTATAATTGAAAAGAACATATATTCTGCTGTTTTGGGGTAGAATGTTCTCTAACTGTCAATTAAGCCAGGTTTGTTGATAGTGTTATTCAAGTCTTCTGTAGACTTACTGATTGTATACTTATTTATCAATTATTAGGAAGGAGGTATTGAAATCTCTGACTATGGTTGTGAACTTTTCTATTTCTTCCTGTAGTTCTATCAGGTTTTGGTTTGTGTATTTCAAAGCTGTGTTTTTAAGTGCATAAATGTTAAGCTTTGTTATGTCTTCCTGATGTATTTTTCCCTTCAGCTTCATGAAATCACCCTCTTTATCACTGTAATATTCTTTTCTCCAAACTCTACTTTGCCTAATGTTAATATAGCTACCCTGCTTTGTTTTTCATTAGTGTTAGCCTGATGTATCTTTTTCCTTCCTTTTACTTTTAACATGTTTGTGTCTTTACATATAAAGAAGGATTCTTGTAGGCAGCATATAGTTGGGTCATGCTTTTTCATTCAATCTGACAATCTTTGGCATTCAATTAGGGTGCTTAGACCACCCATATCTAGTGTGATTATTGATATGGCTGGGATTACATATACATAAACCATCTTGTTATTTGTTTTTTGTTTGTCTCATTTGTCCTTTATTATCTTTTTCTGCCTTATTTTGATTGAGTACTTTTTATCTCCTTTACTGGCTTAACTATAACTGTTGTGTTATCTTAGGTTGCTTTAGGGTTTATAGTATACATTTTAAACTTACCACAATCCGCCATCAAGTGATGTTATAGTATTTAACAAAGTATAAGAAACTTACAACAGTATACTTTCACTTCACTGCTAGCTCTTGGACTATTGTTATTCATTTTTACTTCTACATATCTTATAAACCTCATTTTTAAGTTATTATTTTTATTGGTAATCATTCATGTGCTTGTCACAGTTCTCCTCCTAGACTATAAATTATTTGAAAATGGGATTCACATCTGAATCAGTGTTGGCATTCAATTGATATTCAAAATCTTTTTTTTCCCAATGAATGGTAGAGAGAATGAGGGAACCAGTGGCAAAATGGCTCTGCTGCTTACCAAGGTGAAGCCCTGGACTGGCCCGGCCAATGTAGAAATACACGATGGCAGCAACACCCATGTTAACCAGGGTATACACCCACTGTATCACAAACATGATGAGAAGGGACCCAACAGCCTGTGAAAACAGAGTAGGAAGAGCAAATCACCTAATGGCTTTCTACATGGTAAGCAAGCCACAAGGCTAATGTCTTCAGCAACAACATTCCCTCTCATCAACTTCTGATCACTGTAAAAGTCTGAATAATTGAAGTTTATGAAGAATTCAAAAAACCTCACTTAAGCAGATATTTGGGCAGACACCTTCTGAAAATAACTCTTTAATTAAAACTATCAACTAGATATTCTATCTTATCTCCTTGTCCCATTCCTCCCTATAAGAAACAAATTAGGATGAAAGTATGATAACTTAGCGTACCTTAAAATTTAGTAACCCAGAAGTTATCATAGACAATTATTTAAAAAGGAAATTATTGATTAAAATAAGCAGTCATTAAATGTAATCTTGCCATATGTAGTCTCATCTAAATTCTAATACAACAGGCAAATCACATTGCTTCTAATTAGGCCCTCCATCTTTCCTCCCCCACAGCCCAAGATCACACATGTGTCCACCTGAACTCTGTCCCAAGAACAACTGAGATCAAGATGAAGTTACTCACCCCCAACAGGGAGACCCAGGGGTTGCACATGTGGGTATAGAAAGAAGTGGATCTTCTCCAGACATCTTGTTCTTGGAGCCTGGACTTCAGGAAGAAATCTAAAAAATAGCCAAAGATTTGGCTGCCAAATTGCTATCAACTCTCTACTGTTTTTTAGGAAAATATACCTATGAGCTCCTCTTCCCCAATTTTGTAACTTAGCCTAAAAGACATCTCCCAGGGCTTGCTCTTGCAGAAGGAAGAAAGAAGTGTTTATGGCCTCCCACCAGCCAAGGATCTGAGAAAGAAAGAGAAGAGAGAGACAGAGTGGAGAGGAAGGTCCTCTGATGCTCAAGGCACAACTGTCCAGATATGTCATCTGGGGCAACTGGAAGCTCAGCTCTCCCCTCTTTTTCAGATGTAAGGTGTTAGAGTGGGAGAACTAGACATCTGGTATTCTTGGCTTCCAGGTGTGACCACCGGGACTGCTAGGGCAGGTTGGCTTTTGTCTAATGAGAGATGGTCTTTGCTACCTTCTGACTCTGAAAGTTAGCTCGTGTTAGACCTGTCTCAGGTATCAACCAGAAACTGATGAAGGAGAAAGATGGAGGGAGAATAGCTCCTCTGATTCCTTCCTCTGGCAATTGAAATGGCTGAGGGGAAAGGGGCCTGGCAATAAACAAATGCATGATCCTGCCTCATCCTTTCAGGCACAACAGGGCTTTCAGAGCTATGTCATGTTCTATTCAGCTCTGCATTCTCAGTTTACAGCTGGCTCCAGAAGCGCTCAATTTAAAAATAATAATAATTTTTTAATGTCAGAGTAGTGAAGTTTGGGCTTTTAGTGTAAGCCTCACCCAAATAGTGTACACTGTAGCCATTAGGCAATTTCTCATCTCTCAATCCCACCCTCCTACCTTTCCGAGTCTCCAAAGTCTATTACTCCACAATCTATGTCAATGTGTACACATTATTTAGCTCCCACTTATAAGTGAAGACATGAGGCATTTGACTTTCTATTTCTGCAGAAATGCTCAATTTAACTATGAAAATGCATCTAGATTGTTTAACAATATGGTCTAATCACCATGAACACCACAATAATGTTTCAAATAAATGATATGTTGAATTAACTTCGCAGTATGTTTATACTTCATTTCAACACTAAAACTTCAGGTGTTCTCAACCTTCATAGTTTGTTGCTCAGGAAATATAGTAGAAAGCTCCCTACATAGCCCTTCTCTGTTCTCCAATATCAAATTTCCACTTCAGCCAAACTCTCTTGACTGTGTCATCTCCTCTGCCCAGCCCTTCCTTCTTCACTACGGTCCAAATCCTGTCTCATATACCAGTGTTCTTCCCCATGTCAACCACTCCTGATGTGTTGGTTCCTGGAATCTATCTGGGATCCACGTCTCATGGATCCCCTAGCCCTCTGCTTATCTAACTCCTATGCATCCCTCAGCTCAGTTATCACTTCCTCAGGGAAATCAGCCCCCACAGGAAAATCTAAATATATTCCCACATACCATTAATATTTCCTTATGGCCCATTTCCTTCACAGCACTTACCATCATTTGTAGTTGTATACTTATTTACATGTTTCTATGCCCATTGGATTATATGCTTCATGGGGGCAGGGTCCACATCCATCTTGAGCCTAGGGCTTGGCATGTAGCAGAACTCACTAAGTATTCCTAGCCCAAGTCTCCCATCCTCTCTGGTCACTGTTGCTTTATGACCTAGCCCCTTTGAAGCACATGCCATCAGACTATTTCACACCCTACCCTTCATCATTACAGTCTTTTACCAACTTGTCATTCTTCTCTTGCTTGTTAAATATTTCAGCCCCTGGTTCACCATCTTTTTCTCTATCAGCATCCATTGTCATCATTGGTGACTTCTACAAAAACAACTCATCCAAAGCCCTACTTTCTCGATTCCTTGAAATCCTCATACTAATAATCTTTTCTTTCACTCATCCCAACTGTCAACTCCCTTAGCTGCACTTGCGGTGTGTCATTACCAGTAACCTTACACTTCCTAAATCATGACTTTCAGCAATCTACTCTCAGCCCATAACCTCCTTTAAAAGCAACGTTAAGCTCATTTGCTCTGCTGTTCCTCATTCCAACCATTCATAGTCTACAGAGGGACCTTTAGATAGTTTGCCTTAGTATGTTTTTGATTTCCATCACCTACCTCCCGCTTTCCCTAACCTCTTACCTACATACACATCTGCTCCCATGCTTCAGAATTACTCAGCAGCCTCATACCTAGGCAACTCATCCTCCTACTCTCTGATAGAACAAATTTACAAGCTCTCTTCTCCAAAGAGAACTTTTCATGTTCTCTCATCACCCAATTAGCCAATTCACTTGCATCTATACCCTCTATTCTGCCTTCCTTCCTTTCACGGTGGATGAACAGCCTCTGATCCTAACTAAGGCCCATCCCTCCACTTGTGCCAGGATCCCATCCCTTTTGGCCTGTTCAAGGACTTTGTTCTCACATCATCAATTTTTCTGTCCCCTACTGAATCATTCCCAACAAATACAAATATACTGTCTTCTCTCCCACCTAAACAAATGTCTACAGCTCACCCCTAGTTATTGTCCTATTGCTGTCTCTCCCTTATAGCAAACCTCCTCAAAAGAATTGCCTATGCAGTCTCTATATCCCATTATTTCCTCAACCCACTCTTATGATTGTATCTACTTTTCCACTAAAACTACTCTTACCAAAGTTGCCAATGATTTGAATCTTTTCAAATTCTGTGGTCAACTCCTAGCCCTCATCCCATTTGATCTTTCAGGCAGCATCTGATACATGTGATCACTTTCTCCTTCTTGGAAAAATTATCCTCTAAGATGCCTCACTCTCTTGATTTTTCTATGTCACTGCCCACTCTCTCAGTCTTCTTTGCTGGCTCGCCTCCTCCTTCCAACCTGAAAATATTGGAGTATTCCAACATTCAGTCTTCAGCACTCCTTTTTTCCATGTATACCCACTCCTAAGAGATTTCTTCTAGTCTCATGGCTTTAAATGCTACTGATATATTGATGACTCCAAGTTTACATCATCCTCGACCTCTCCCTTGAACTTAAGTTTTGAATAGCTCATTGTCTTCTCAGTATCACCCATTAGTTGGCTAATAAGCACCTTAAACTTAACATGACTAACACAGAAATCTATTCACCTCAAATCTTCATTTGAATAAATAACACCACCATTTACACAAACATGTAAGATTCATCCTGACTCCCTTCTTTCTCTCACACCTATACTTATTCCATCCATAAACCTTGTTTATTCTACTATCAGAATATATTCTGGATACAATGACTCCTCACTGCCTCCATTGCTCCCATCCTAGTCCAACCCACTTTCATCTTTCATCCATTTACTGCAGCGGGCTCCTGTGGTACAGACCCCAGCTAGAGTACAGTCCACAGGATTTCTCACTGTTAGGTGTAACCATGTGACTAAGTTCTCAGCAACAGAATGTGAACAGAAGCAGTGAGTGCCACTCCTGGCCCAAGGTCTTTAAGAGAATGTGTGCCTCTTCTCTGTGCACTTTCCCCTTCCTCTGCCTGAAATCTGAATGTGGTAACTCAGTCTTGATTCTTCACATGACTAGGTCCGAGGGCATAGTGAAGTCATACAAATGGCAGGAGCCTGGATCCCTGAGTGGATGCATGGAAGAGAGCCTCCCACGGAGTTGGAACACCCTTCTTGCACTGTAAAGCAAGTAAATAACATTTTTTGGTTATTTGTTTAGCCTACCCTAATTAATATACCTCCAAATTGGCCTTGGCTCTCTCTCTTACCTCTAAAAGCCAGTGATCTTCTTAAAGACTGACTCTGGTCACATTGTAGCTGTAGCTAGAACTTTCAGCGCCTTCCATCACACTCACAATGGCCCACATGGCCCTATACAGCACTGCCCCCGCTTTCCTCACTGGACCCCTCTCATCTCTCTTCCCTGGCTCACTGCTCTCCAGTCACTACTGGGCCTCTGCCATTCTTGATGAGTTGCCAGTCCAGTTCCCACCTGGACTTTTTTACATGCCAGGTCCTCTACCTGGAACTCTTCTTCTACTTCTCTGCATGGCTCACTGCTTCATGCAATTCAGTTCTCCATTAAAATATCATCTTCCCAGTGAGATCTTTTCTAATAAACCTACCTGAAACAGTGCATCTTCCTCCCCACCCTGGTCTCTCTTTATCCCATTACTCTATTATTATTCATTATACTTATCACTTACTGACATCACAGTATGGTATTTGCTTGTTTATCATATGTCTTCCCCTACTAGAATGTAAGCTCTACAACAGCAAAAACCTTCTATGTCTATTCAGCATGTTCCCCCAGCACTTGGGACAGTGTCTGGAATGTACGAGGTATTCCATACATGTGGGTGAATGAATAAATCATTCTACACCTTGAGAAGACTTCATCCTCTCAACATCTATTTGCATTCATCATGTGCCTCCAAGTATTATGCTTATCTTTTTTTACATCTGTACCTTCAGGGATAAGGACCCTCTTTTATATTCTAAATGCCAACTCTAGGCATTTAGAAGTTTGTGTATAGGAAGCGCTCAGTAAAAGTCTCCTTAATAATTATGGATTAAAATAAAGTCTGCAAGATTGATCTGAATGGATGGCTCTATTACTTTTCAAAAAATAAATAATTCTGTTATGATTGCCATTAATTAAATTGTATAGTTTTAACAATTTAATTAAATTGGTTATTTGTTTAGTTTTGTACTTATCACTTATTGACATCACAGTGTGTATTTGCTTATTTATCATATGTCTTCCCCTACTAGAATGTAAGCTCTACAACAGCAAAAACCTTCTATGTCTATTCAGCATGTTAAATTGTATAGTTTTAACAATTTAATTAATGGCAATCATAATTATTTAAAAAATTGTTTAATTTTAACAATTTAATTAATGGCAAACATAGGCTTAGTAAAATACAGTTGCCCTCTTGGTTATTAAGAAGGAACACTAGGCCGGGCACAGTGGCTCACACCTGTAATCCCAGCACTTTGCGAGGCCAAGGGGCAGGTGCATCACAAGGTCAAGAGATCAAGACCATCCTGGCCAACATGGTGAAACCCCGTCTCTACTAAAAAAAATACAAAAAATTAGCTGGGCATGGTGGAACGCACCTGTAATCCCAGCTACTTGGGAGGCTGAGGCAAGAGAATTGCTTAAACCCAGGAGGCTGAGGTTGCAGTGAGCCAAGATCACACCACTGCATTGTAGCATGGGCAACAGAGCAAGACTCTGTCTCAAAAAAAAAAAAGAAGAAGAAACACTATTGGTTAAGAACTTATATTTTTGCATCTCTTTGAGATCTGTCACCTGTTAAAGCTCACCCTTTTACAACACTTGATCTTACACAACCTCAATTTTACTGAACCTAAAGGGAATTGTGTGTGTGTGTGTGTGTGTGTGTGTGTGTGTGTGTGTGTGTGTGTGTGTTCTGAGGAACTTGGGCAGAAGTAGTAGGAAAGGTTTGTCCTCTAGGCAGCCACAATGCTGTTTTATATATCAGCAATGTAAGGGAAAATTTATGCAAAGATGCTCAATGACTCTTTGAATAGGTACTGTAAAATAGACAATTATTCATAATTCTGAATAGCTAGGGTTTCAAAACTCTTCCAAAGTGACTAGAGGAATTTTTTTTCTTGTCTCAGATTTTGCTGGAGAAAGCAAGTTGTACAAACTTGTCAGAGGGGCAGGGGACAGCTTCTCATGCTAGAAATACTAGGAAGTTACAACTAGGCAGGTAACTTTACTTTATCAAGCCTCTACTCATAAAACAAACAAGCATGCATCGTGCATGTTAAAAATGCTACACATAACAAATATAAGGCAAAATATTAAATTGACCTTTAAAATCTAGTGATATGTCTAAGTTCTATGTTCACAGCAGATATAAACACTTTAAGCATAAAGGAGGAAACCCCAATTATGTTAATTTTTAAATAATAAATTTAAGTAATTTTATAGAAATTACTTAAATATTAAACCCTCTGTGAAAATTCACTTCATATCTTTATCAGAATAAATAAACACATAGTTCTAATTAGCATGTATAAACTGATAACGTATATTGCCTTAGTCCACACAGAATCATGTTTAAAGTCCACGTGGTATTTTATCATGTTGATGTTATAATTTGCTTAACCACTTTCCAAATGCTGAGCACTTATTTCTAATTTGTCATTAGCACAAACAATGCAGCTATGACAATCTTGTACACATTTTTTGGTTTGCTGTTTGGCTGATTTGGGGTTGTTTCCTTGATAAACAGTTCCCTCAAATAGACTTACTAAGTCAGGGCAATTAAACAGTTTTGTGTTTCTTGTTACATCTTGAAAGATCATTCTCCACAAACAATGAACCAGAGGGACTTCTAGCCATGGCAGTATGAAGAGGTCAGTGAATCTTCTCCACACACACACACACACACACACACACACACACACACACACGTATAAAACTAGACAAAATAGTCCAAAACACTTACTTCAGAGCTCCAGAAATTTACCAGATGAAGAAAACAAATTGAGAAGTATTTATTTTTCAAAAATTTCTAAAGCTGAGGGTAAGAAACATGAAAGCCTGTAGCCTTCTTGCCTAAGCTGCTCCCATTAAGCATGAAGCTGGTCAGAAACCAGCAGTTTGCTGTCAGAGGGGCAAAGTTGATTTGAAGCCAGGGCAAAAGGCTGTGGCTTTATATGCTAAATATGATAAGCACAGTAGAAAAATGAATGGGGAAAATCCTTGCTAGCCTGAAAGTGCAGACCCAGCTAGGGTGAGCAGAAGACCAGCAGAAATTTAATGGGGAGATCCTGGAAATGAGAGCACCATAGAAAGACTAGATAACCTCCCCACATTTCCCTGGATGACTAGAAAACTACGCCCACGCCTGGGGAGGCCTGAAAGAACCTGGCAAAACATAAAACCCAGAGGAGAATGGGGAACTAATTGGATCCAGTTTTGACTATGCTTCCCAAGTGACACACAGATCCACTGGCAGAGAGCAGAGCCTTAAGGGCTATGCAGAGCCTTAAGGGCTATGCAGACACAGGGGGCAACTCCTAGGAAGCAAGGCTAAACACATAAGAATAAAAAGCTGACTAACGATATCAGCAGCCACACACCACGGGGGAGGCAGATGCCACAGTTGAAATCCAGGCAATTTACTAAAATAAACAAAAAACCAAAAACTCAGAAATATATATCAGAATAAAGAGTTGCTACAATACATTATTTAAATTGTCTAGTTTTCAACGAAAAATTACAAGACATGCAAAAAACCCAGAAAACTGTGATCCATGCTCAGGAAAGAAAAACATCAAGTAAAAGAAACTAACTGAGTAGGTTCATGTGTTGTATTTAGCAGACAAAGACTTCAAACTTCAAAGCAGCTGTTAAAAATATATTTAAAGAATTAAAGAAAACGATAATGTTAATGAGAAAAAAATTCGGATGACAATGACTTTAAAAATAAAGAATACCAACAGAGAAATATAAACTAAAGGCCAGGTACAGTGGCTCATGCCTGTAATCCCAGCACTTTGGGAGGCTGAGGCATGCAGAACCCCTAAGGTCAGGAGTTTGAGACCAGCCTGGCCAACATGGTGAAACCCCATCTCTACTAAAAATAAAAAATTAGCTGAGCATGGTGGTGGGCATCTGTAATCCCAGCTACTCAGGAGGCTGAGGCAGGAGAATTGCCTGAACCCAGGAGGTGGAGGTTGCAGTGAGCCGAGATCACACCATTGCACTCCAGCCTGGGCAACAAGAGCGAAACTCTGTTTCAAAAAAGAGAGAGAGAGAAATATAAACTATAAAAAAGAACCAAATGAAAACTCTACAGTTAGAAAGCACAGTAACAGAAATGAAAAATGTACTAGATGCTATCAACAGAAGATTTCAGATGACAGAGGAAAGAATCAGTGAACTTCAAGACAAAAATGATCCAAAGTGAAGAACAGAGGGGGAAAGGTGGAAGCAAAGGAAAGAGAGTCTCAGAGGCCTAATGGGATAATGTCAAGTATATCAATAAATATGTAATGGAAGTCCCACAGGGACAGGAGAAAAAGAAAGGGCAGAAAAAATATTTGAAGAAATATTAGCCAAAAACTTCCCAAATTTGATGAAAAACTTTAATCAACAGGAAAGAAAGAATGAATCAATTGATGTTGCCTCTAGCAATGTGTACATACACCTAATTATCACAAATCTGCTATTTTTATTTAAATTTTTATAGCTTAATAGATATGCAATTATATATATTTATTATTATTATTTTTTAAAAATGGAGTCTCACTCTTATTGCCCAGGCTGGAGTGCAATGGCATGATCTCGACTCACCGCAACCTCCACCTCCCAGGTTCAAGTGATTCTCCTGCCTCAGCCTCCTAAGTAGCTGGGATTACAGGCATGTGCCACCATGCCCGGCTAATTTTTGTATTTTTAGTAGAGATGAGGTTTCTCCATGTTGGTCAGGCTGGTCTCGAACTCCTGACCTCAGGTGATCCACCTGCCTTGGCCTCCCAAAGTGCTGGGATTACAGGCACGAGCCACCATGCCCAGCTTAATGCTATCTTAAAGATGATTTAGGCCGGGCGCGGTGGCTCACGCCTGTAATCCCAGCACTTTGGGAGGCCGAGGTGGGTGGATCATGAGGTCAGGAGATCGAGACCATCCTGGCTAACAAGGTGAAACCCCGTCTCTACTAAAAATACAAAAAATTAGCCGGGCGCGGTGGCGGGCGCCTGTAGTCCCAGCTACTCGGGAGGCTGAGGCAGGAGAATGGCGTGAACCCGGGAAGCGGAGCTTGCAGTGAGCCGAGATTGCGCCACTGCAGTCCGCAGTCCGGCCTGGGCGACAGAGCGAGACTCCGTCTCAAAAAAAAAAAAAAAAAAAAAAGATGATTTAATTTGTGTTCATTTAATCAATATCATGGCCTAGTTCAAAACAAATACCCATTGCAAGTGTTGGCATACACACTGTGTAGTGGTTAAGAGCACAGGTTTGACAGTCAGATTGACCTGGGTTCAAATTCTGACTGTCTCCTATCATGAGCAAGTGTTTAACTTCTCTGAGCCTCAGTTTTATCATCTGTAGAAAGACAGAACAATGCCTAAATCTGGGCTTCAGCGAAATAGCTCATATTAAATGCTAATCTCAGTGCCAGGCACATAGGATGTGCTCAGTAAGTGCTGGCTATTTTTAGCTACTAATAATACTTAACAATAAGAATTCATTTGTTGAATGGACATGAATGAGTGAGCATTAATTTTTCAAATGTAAAACTTTGTATTTATCTCACCTGACATCTTTTCAGTAAAATCTGGATTTTGACCTTCCTGTTTTTAAAAATAATACGCTTTGGAAGGTATGCTTTCATCAGTTGTGTTTTGTCAGAATAATTGTTTCCTTCTGTGACACTGTGTTGTACAAATGTTTTTTATTTCTATTTAATCAGATATCTTGTCTTTGATGATGTCTACGTAGTTAAAAAATCTCTCTTGCACAGCTGTTGTAAATAAATAATTCTTGTGTATATAAGGTATAAAATACAGCCTCAAGTTAATTTTTAAAATCCATGCTTTCAGGAATATTTATTCCATTGTGATTTGATTATTATTATTTTATAGCATCTGGTTTGTCAACGATTAGGTTCTTATAATAGTTTAACTCTTTCTATTTGATCAATGCTTCAATGTTTTAGCCAAAATTTGCTCAATTGCTCATCAATTCAAGTAGGCTTTACTGAGTGTTTGCTACATTATGTGTACTGTATGGGAATATTGTGACGAGTACAGAGGTAAAAAGACATAGTTTGAAAACAAAGGAATCTGACAATCTAGTGGCAAAGAAATGAGTTTAATATTTATTTCCTTAAGATAGACAAATAAACCTAAAGACAAATGTGTGAACAAATGTGATATAAATATGATGTGATATAAATATGAGATAATAGTTTATATTACTAATATGAATCAAATGTTATGGTTGCACAGTGGAAGACATCAGAGAATCCTTCTCCAAAAGGGGTGAAAGTGGGTCTTAAAAGTCAGATGGATTTTAAATGATGTCAGAGTTTTCCAGATGGAGAAGGGGGAGGTGAAGCAATCGGAGGAGGCAGAACAGGGTGTATGAAGGCAGGAAGGAATAAAGAACATGGTGTGTTTAGGACATCAGTTTGGGTGAAAGCGGAACGTACAGTGCATGGGTTGTCATGAGAAGTGTGGCCAGGAACGTAGGTTAGGGCTGCATTGCGAAGAACCTTGCATCGTACACCCTATCTGGGACTTTACACGGAAGGGGTTAAATTCCAGCAAGCATTTTTAAGTAAGAGAGACATGATGAGAGTTTTATTTTAGAAAGATCATTCAGTGGGCAGCATGAAGGAGAAATGGGATGCGGGAGAGTCTTGGAGACTTAGCAAGAGTCCAGGTACAAGATGATGAGCGTCTGCACCAAAGTAAAGGCAGCAGGGAGTGGGAGAGAGGGAATGGTCAGCAACACCTATGACATTTCTAAGACTAGGCAGCTGGACAGCGACCACTTCCTTGATTAAACATTGCAGACTGTCCACGTCTCTCCTGAAAATCCAATGAGAAGACAGAAAAGGAATGAAACAGACATAAACCCACAAACACGAAGAGAATGAGAGAGGAAAAATAAAAACAAGTCCTGGAAGATGGAAAGGTGACCGTAGTGACAGACTGAGCAGAGCAGAGGAGAGTGAACCCTAGGGCCCCCAGAGAGGGTGCTGGCAGGGAGCAGCCCAGTTCATTCTGGCAGACCAGCTTCAGGACCAGGAAGCACCACATCCCATGCAGTGGTAAGGTATAGGGGGCTGTGGGAGGTCTATATTTGTTGTATACCAAGATCCTTTTCTCTGCCTATGAAGCCAAGTAACAACCCTTCTGTTGCCCAATTCCCTCCTCAAGGGGGCTTTCCTTTGAAACAATCAAGCCAGAGAGTGCCTAAACTTGGCACAGCAGGCACAGCAAAGAGTGTGGAAATGGAATTTGAAGGCAGGGAATTAAATGAACATCTATACCCTAAACAGTGGGACCCCTCTCCAACTCACTCACCTCATCCTGTTCCCAGAATGCCCGTACCTATCTGTGTGTCCCTCGGGCAAGGGATTAAAGAACTCTCCTCCAGAGGAAAACGTGAAGAGCCCAAGAGAAAAACCTCTAGATATTCACATTTGGGGGTCCTCCAGTAAAAAGTCTAGCCCACTCCTCCTTATTCTACAGTAAGGTGCCCCAATTAACAAGCCCTGCTAATGTACAAAGCTCTTCTAAACAGTTTTTTAGTACTTCACTTAAAAAAAAAAAAAAAAAAAAAGAGAGACAGAGGCTCACCCTGTCACCAAGGCTGGAGTACAGTGGCGTGATGATGGCTCATTGTAGCCTCAACCTCCCAGGCTCAAGCAATCCTCCCACCTCAGCCTCCTGAGTAGCTGGAACTACAGGCATGTGTCATCACACTTGGCTCATTGAAAAAAAATTTTTGTAGACACAGGGTCTCAATATGTTACCTAGGCTGGAGTGCAGTGATGTGATCACCACTCACTGCAGCTTCAACTTCCCAGGCTCAAGTTGTCTTCCCACCTCAGCCTCCCAAGTAGCTGAGACTACAGGCATGTGCCACTATACCCCCACTAATTTTTTAGTTTTTTGTAGCAGCCGGATCTCGCTATGATGTCCAGGCTGGTCTTGAACTCCTGGGCTCAAACATTCCTCCTGTCTCAGCCTCCCAAAGTGCTGGATTACAGGTGTGAGCCACCGTGCCCAGCGAGTGCTTCACTTTTAAGTACAAAAAGAAGTCAAAAGATCAATGGACATTTTAGTAAAAGCCTCCAAGATTTAAAAAAAAAAAAAAAGAGAGAGAAAGAGAGAGCCCAAACCAAAGAGAAAATAATTAAAGAAAACAGGAACAGTGAAAGGAACAGAAAAACTTTTTAAAATTATTTTTACTTTTATTTTTAGAGACAGGGTCTTGCTCTGTCGCCCAGGCTGGAGTGCGGTGGAGTGATCATAGCTCATTGTAACTTTGAATTTCTGGGCTTAAGAGATCCCCCCACCTCAGCCTCTGGAGTAGCCGGGGCTACAGGCATATGCCACTATGCCCAGCTAACTTCCTTTTTAATTTTTGTAGATATGGGGTCTCACTGTGTTGCCCAGGCTGATCTTGAACTCCTGGCCTCAGGTGATCCTCCTGCCCCAGCCTCCCAAAGTGCTGGGATTACAGGTATGAGCCACCATGTCCAGCCTCAGAAAAAAATTTTAAAGGAGGAAGATCAATAATAGTATCAGAGAGAGAAGATAAGCCATTGTACTCATAGAACAAAAATAGATGATGTTCAAATTAGAAAAAAAAAAAAAAAAAGACAAGGACAAATTAGATCACAACCAAGAGGTCTTGGAAATTAAAAACTGGATAATTGTGGCATAGACTGATAGTTGCTACCTTATCTCTCCTTCTTTCTTAGGAAAAAAAGAAAAAACACATAATTTTATGTAAAGTAGTAATATGACCAGTTAAAAAACAATTTTATCAGCCTTCTTTGCAGTTTGTTGTAATCACATGACTAAATTCCAACCAATGAAATATGAGAAGTTGGAATGGGACTTTTGAGGAAGCCTCCTCCAAATGACTCAGTTTAGAGGCTCACCCTTTTGCCCTTTTTCCCTCCCCTTTTTCTAGTGCCTGGAATATAAATGTAATGGCGTGACCCCAGCAACCACATGTTGGATCACAGAACAATATACTAAGTGATAAAGGAGCATGGGTCACTCAGGACCATGGAGCTGCCATGGCAGCCATGGACTGCCCACCTCTGGATCCTTGTGTATGAGCTAGATGAAGTCACTATTATTTTGCAATTTTGTTATCCTCAGTCAAAACTAATCGTGACTGATACAACAACCAACACTTTAAAAAAAAAATCATTAGAAGCCTTGGGAGAGAAAATCCATGAAATATCCCAGAAAAAAACAACAAATAAATGAACAATAGGAAAGAGAAAAGAAAGAAGATTAGAGAACCATTTAAGAAGATACAAAATCGAGATAATAGAGGGGGGATGGAGGGATGGGGGTGGGGAATTATCAAAGAAAAACTATGTAAAAGCATGACTTTGGTAAGAAATCTCTTGTTTCCTGGATCTGACACAGAAGTGTGGTAACAAGAGGAATTCTAAGACAACAGCTTTGTAGCAGACCTAGCAAACAAACAATCTAGAGTGGAACAGAAGGATGGAGCCATAGGACAGAGGGGAAAAAAGAAAAGAATACATTTCTGAAGAATTGGAGCATTTTGAAAATAACACAAAAAGGCATTTGACAGATCTGCCAGAGCATTTAAAGAAAAATGATGACAGAAAACCAAGCAAAGAAAAAACCAAGGCAATTATTAATTCCAGGAAACAGCAAAAGTTGAGCAAAAAAGGAAATGTAATCATAGTGTAACATATGGCTCAGAACTGAGCAATATTTACTTAGTCATGATAACAAGAATACTAGCTTTTAATTTAATAAAAAACTGTGAGATAACTACTCTGGGGGCATTAAATAAGGAGAAGTCAGAGTGGCATATAAGAGTTAAATCCAGGCAGGGTGTGGTGGCTCACGCCTGTAATTTCAGCACTTTGGGAGGCTGAGGTGGGTAGATCACTTGAGGTCAGGAGTTCAAGACCAGCCTGGCCAACATGGTGAAACCCCATCTCTACTAAAAATACAAAAATTAGCTGGGTGTGGTGGTGGGTCCCTGTAATCTCAGCTACTTGGGAGGCTGAGGCAGGAGAACCGCTTGAACCCGGGAGGTGGAGGTTGCAGTGAGCTGAGATCGCACCAAATCCTCATTTACCATAACAGCAACTCAAAAGATGATGTCAGAAACTGACATATCAAGAAGTAGCAATGCAAATACATTATTTAGTGACAGATTAACAGAAGAAGCATATTTTTGGTTCAAAGTGGGATTTTCTGGGAATGGGACTGGAAATAGAGAAGGGTAAAAGGGGTGGTATAAAAGAGTAGGAACTACTGTTTCTGGTTATGTGACTTTTAATATTATTTGGCTTATTAAATTGTACACTTATTACATTGATTAAAATAAAATAATTTTTATTTTTAATTAAAAGTTTCCCAGAAATTTAGAGGCAAAGAAGGAAAAACAGGTTTCTGGGAGAACTTAAAACACTAGGTTTTTGGGGTTTTTTGTTGTTGTTGTTGTTTTGTTTTGAGATGGAGTCTCACTCTGTCACCCAGGCTGGAGTGCAGTGTCATGATCTTGGCTCACTGCAACCTCTGCCTCCCAGGCTCAAGCAACTCTCCTGCCACTGCAACCTCCGCCTCCTGGGTTCAAGCAATTCTCCTGCCTCAGCCTCATGAGTAGCTGGGATTACAGGCAGCAGCCACCATGCCTGGCTAATTATTTGTATTTTTAGTAGAGACAAGGTTTCACCATGTTGGTCAGGCTGGGATTATAGACGTGAGCCACCGCGCCCGGCCAAAACACTATTTTTCAGACACCTCCTTCTATGTCCCTCATCTCCTCCTCTTTGCCCACACCTGTCTGTATATAGCTCCAGGGAGAGCATAATGTAGAGGAAAGTACATGGGCCTCAAATACAGACAATACAATGCAGGGTGATGTCCAGCTGTGCAAAGAATCAGGTCAGAGTCTTCTCTGTGACCTCATGTGGACACAAGGTCTTACTTGTAAAAGGGAAAATGCTAATATATGTTATATTACACGAAGTAATAGATGTAAAGCACCTAGAATATGGTAGGTCCTTGAAAATACGAGTTCTCATTTTCAGAATTTCTCATGCTCTATAAGCCTCTCTGTGAGTGTCTCTGTGTATCTCTGTGTTTATAGATTTGAGAAAACAAAGCTTGAGCCACCTTCTGTCCATCCCCTCTTGCCTGGTTTGGGAGGTTCATCTTCCACAAAGAAAACATATTGCATCCTTAACAGGTAGTTTATCACAACACATTTCCACTTCTCTTGTAAGGAGAGATTGATTTTACTCACATTGAGGCTTTATACTTCTGTTCATTTTTGAGTGAAAAGAGATTGATACCCAATTACTAGCTGTGGCTCTCAGGTCTAACATACAGGAGTAGATAGAAATTTCTGTTTAAAATTAACTATCTATAACAGAGTATAATTACAAATAATTCAGCTGATACCTGAATATAATGTTTTAAAACAAATATTGCACAAAATTAACAAGGATTTTAAACCCAGTTATAACTGGTTCACAATAACTGGGTAGGTAGGATAATCAGTGGTCATCCCCAAATAAGAGGCCCCAGTGTGATACCAGAGCACTCACCTTCTCCACTGGACTCTGATTGGTTGCACAGCTCAGGAACAAGTTGCTCTCCATATGTTCCCTCAGGCTGAGTCCCTTCGCTCTTGGAAGTCTGCTTGTTCCAGCAGGACTCCTGCCCCTCCCAGGAGGCAGCGGGCAACCTGTCAGAGATCTCGACAGGGAAAGAAGGAGGGGATTTGAGGTCCAAGAGGAAGCTATCTTGTAGGGTCTGCTTGGTGGCCTTCTTGCTTTTCCTCTTCTGACTTTCTGGGGTCCTGTTACCCTCTCCTTGCCTGGGCTGGCTACTCTCAAGCTTCCTGGTTAGCTGGAGGAGCTGATCCATGTCCTTGGTGAATTCCAGTAGCGTGCCCTCCAAGACTCTTTGGGCAGGTCCCTCAGAGCCGTAACTGGGAGCTTTCTCTAAGAGCAGGTGCTCAGAGCAGTGGAGGCCTTCTGCGCCCTCCCTGAGCACCGGCTCAGGCACCGGGGTCAGGCTGCAGGAACACATGGACAGGGAGAAGTAAGAGTAGTCCACTGCAACGTATGTCAGCATGAAGTTGATGGTGACGATGGGGGCCAGAACGTTCACTTGACCCACAAAAACAAAGGCCATGGTCACCAAGCTGGTCAGGCAGATGGCAGCCACGGGTGTTTTGTTTGGCCCCTTCTGCAGGAACAAAAATAACATGCAGGACCATAAAATTTCAGATAGAACGCTTCAGAGATTTCAGAAGTTACAGGCTAGAAACACAACTCATAATGACTCAGCCACTTCTCCCCATGTGATTATTCATCTATAAACTTGAGATAATAATATCCTACTCATGGGATTAGTTCATGCATGCGAAATGCTTCACACAGACTGACATGCAGTAAGCTCCACAGATATTAGTTGCATTAGCAACTTTTTTTTTTTTTTCTTTTTTTGAGACCGGGTCTGGCTCTGTTGCCCAGGCTGGACTGCAGTGATGTGATCTCAGCTCATTGCAACCTCCGCCTCTTGGGCTTAAGCCATCCTCCCACCTCAGCATCCTGAATAGCTGGGACTACAGGTGCACACCACCATGCATGGCTAATTTTTGTATTTCTTGTAGAGACGTGGTTTTGCTATGTTGCCCAGGCCAGTCACAAACTCCTGGCCTCAAGCAATCTGCCCACCTTGGCCTACCAGAGTGTTAGGATTACAGGCATGAGCCACTGTGCCCAGCCATAGGAATAACTATGAACATGGGGCATTATTATAGAACTTTGACTTCCCAAATATTTCCTCCTTTTGTCTTTCATTGGGTTTTAATACCAGCATAGAAAATCAAAGAAATGCAAAGTTGATTCTTCCCAGGGAGAGGCAGATTGCGGAAGACACAGCAGAATCACTGGTGGCTGGAGGAGGGGAATTCTGACACTAATTCTGACACTGAGTATCCGCAAATACTCACACACACACATTACACACACCTGTTATTAATGGAGGTGGGTATGGTGACCTTCAGGTGGACAGGAGTGGAAAAAAGGTGCTAGCTGCCTCTCCTGGGAGCTCTTCATCACAGTCACTGACATAGTTCTTGGGCCAAAAGCAACAGTCACTTCTCAGTCCCTGTCTTCTTTAACCCAGCTGGCTACTCAGTCCTCTTCGAAACACTTTCTTCACCTTACTTCTCCTGATTGGCCTCCCTCTTCACTGGCTGCTCCTTCTTGGTTTCTGTGGCTGGCTTTTCACGTCTCTGAACTCCACATTTAAAGCAGCCCCAGGCTCCATCCTCAGATCTCTATCTGTACTCCCTCCCTTGGTGAGCTCAACTAGGCTCACGGCTTTGAATACCGGCATTATACTGACAACTTCCAAATTTGAATCTCCAGCCTAAAACATTCCCCTGAAACCCAGGTTTACATATCCAACTGCCTACTCAACATTTCCAGTGAACGTCTAATAGGATCTCAAACGGACTATGTCCAAAACCAAACTGCATTTTTGGAGGAAGATAAAGGAAGAAATCAAGGATAAGTTGCAACGATGTGTTCCCTAAACCAGAGAGAGGCTGAAAATTGGAAGCGGCTGGGGAGGCCCTCTGGGGTACCCCAACAAGACAAAAATGAACTCTAGCTTGCAAACCATATTAGTGGGAAATGGGATTCTCTGTTTATGTCTCTTTGGTCCTCCCCTGGACTTTAGGAATGTCTATTTTAATCATTCCAGCCATGTCTCAACTGAGCTGCCCTTTATGTATCAGTTAAGGTTTGGTTCATGATGGTTAACAGGAAGTGTAGACGCCAGAGGTGTAGGAAATCATCAAACAGCAACCCCCAAGGGGCGGTTGAAACTCAAGGGCAGAGTTAGAGCTGCAAGGACCAGCTCGCCTCCTGACCAAAACACGCTTTCTTCTATGCTAAACCTGGAGGATCCTGAATTCATTTTCATTAAAGGATGGGGCACTGCATTTTCATGCTGCTCAGGGTCCAAGATGGTACTAGGACTGGTTAGCTAACCCAGTCCTAAAAGTGCTAAGGGGCTGGGTGGCTGGGACATTTAAGATGCTTCATCTACTTAGCCCTAACCTAAGCCAGCCAGAGGACAGGGCTGAAAGAAATGACCTCTGCATTATTTTCTGTGTCACCCCAAAGAAATTGACCAGAGGCTCTGATCAGAAAAGCTTAACCAATTGATGGGCCAACAGTGAGGTTAGCAGCAAAACATGTTTCAAAAAACAAACCAAAAAAAGAGGATTACTCACCCCTTGTCCCAGACAGGCAAGTGCAGGGATCACTTTCTCCTGGGCAATGCACTGCAGGATGCGGGGAGCTCCATAAAGTCCTCCCATGCAGGAAGCCAGGGACGAGATGTATAAGCCCAAAAGGAACAGGAAGCCCATGAGGGATACCTGTGTGAGAAGCGGTTTCATTCGCCAGTGCCAGAACCTGCTCCTGTGCCTTTCTACCCCCCCAGCACCCACCCACCTGCACCCCATGCAATCATCCACTGAGTCGTCTAGATCTGATCCCTGGGATACAGTTTCCACATCCCCAGCCTCGCCCCCATTCATTCCATGGTTTCAGCTGAATCCACCACCACATTTCATATGGATTGCACAGTGGTCCTCAAATGAAGCGTCTGCCAGACTCAGCTGCAGGGCTTGCTAAACACAAACTTCTGGGCCCCTCCTCAGAGTTCCTGGTTCAGTAGGCTTGGGGTGGGGCCTAGAAATCTGGATTCCGCATGCGTTCCCAGAGACCACACTTTGAGAACAAACTGGCCAACCACAATGCTCATTGGCCTCTTGCCTTTAAGCTCACCCTTAAAGATGAGTTTAAATCTTCAGATGATTCACTCTGAATCATCCCCTAAGCCTCTGTTCTCTAAACTCAAATCTGACCACAATGTCTCCGTTGCAGATATATCAAAATCTCCCCCTGTCCTGACATATAAGGCTCTTCATGGTCTGTGACCTCTTTAGCTCCACACCCTGCACACTGAAAGTCTGATCAGCATGATTTTTCTGTCTGTAGGAAGCCTCTGTTCACACGCCCTAATCTACTCATTGTCTGTTAAACTCCTAATTGTGCTACAAAACTCAGCACCAACCTCACCTCCACTGTGAGGCCATCCCCTCTTCCCTGACTACAGTAGTTGCTTCTCAGTGCTCCATAGCATCCCCAACATGATGTTAGGATAGCACCTATCGTGGTGCCCCCTCCACTAATCTGGAGGCTTCATTTAAGCAGGCCTTCTGTCTTGTTTACCCTAGAATTCTTGGTGCCCAACACAGAAATATAAATGACGAATGAATGAATGAGATCCATGACCCACAAGGCACCAACAGATAGAATAAGAGGGCACAGCTGTTCTTCTTGGTGTCAACTTGCAAAAGATCAGGGTCCAAGATGTTACTAGCTAACTCAGGGCTAAAAGTGCTAAGGGGCTGGGTGGCTGCATGACTGCTTGCCATGCACAGCCAGATCCCAAGCTGTCACTCATGAATTCACCCTCCTGGGCCAGATCTCATCTGTACCCACAGGAAAGCATCTTTGTTTTCTTATTTGAGGTGCCCTTTCCATTCTACTTTCCTTTAGGCACAATGGCCAGAACTGTACATTCCAAGTACTCATGCGTCCAATGCTTACAGATAGGTTAGAGTTAATATTCAGCTTTGTCACTTACACCCTTCTTGATGAAGGCTCTCCTCACCCCATTTTTTACTTCCTTGCATCAGCAAAGCACCGGATTCGTGTCACCAAGCTACATTGAACACAAGCCACTGGCTAGACTTCTTTCCTGGCTCATAAATTATCACTGGAATAATTTGACTGATGGATGAATCAGTCAGGACAGTTGATTGGAAAAAAAAAATTTCTTTAAAAAAGAATATATTTGTAGGACACTGGTGGTTTGTAGAATCATCAGGAGGCTAAAGGATGAGGCTCAGAAAAGGGCAGGACCAAGCCTGGAGGCACACCCAGCCTCTTCCCCAGGAACAGCTTGGCCAGGATGCTGCCAACACCCCTGCTGCCCTGTGGATGGATTCTCACCAGCTCTTTATCTTTACTTCATTGGTTACAATGGGAGCACGCAATGGCCTAGTGTAGGTCATGTGCCCTACCAGGGCTGCAAAGGGACAGGCAAAAGAGGTCTGGTCCATTGGGTTTCTATTACACACAATGGGGGTACTCTCTCCCTTCAAGACCATTGGTGGAATAACCCCCAAATGGTCAGGAAGGTCAGATGCTTGATGAACAAGACTAAGGTCCACTACGGAGCCCACCTTGTCTTTAATTCACTGTTGATTCCTTTCTTTATCATCTCATGCTTATCCCCAAAGAATCTCACCTGTCTCTTTTTTCAATATCGCAGATTTCTTGGGTTTGTCCTGCCCACCCCACTCACCATTTTATTACTACAGGAAATCAATGTCATCTAGTGTTTCCATCACTTTATGTGATCTGATGGCATTTTGTTACTTTCCATCCTGTGGGATAGTTAGTTATGCTCATGGCTTATCCTGCCAGCACCCTGAGCACCTCACAGGTAGAATTGTATCATGCTTCCTGGCCCCCTTCCCCCAGCACCTCATGCAGAATCTGGCAAGCAGAGCTCAACAGCTGAATTCATGCAGCTTCATGACTTTGCTGTAATCGTGCCCTAGGTGCCTTACAAAACTGTTAGATAAGCTGGATCCATTATCAATCCTCAATCCATTCTGAGATGTGATCATTCATCGATAACCTTTATTTCCGTCTTCTCTACCAAATGCAGCCTATGTTGACTGGTTTTTAAAAACCAGATTCTATGATGAAATTTTATCAAGAAAGAGCCTTTTGAAAATTTAAGTCAATAGTTCTCCACTCTGCCTAAACATAAGAATCACCCAGAGATTCTGATTTAATTAGTGTAGAGTGAGACACAGACGTGGTTGAGTTTAAGAAAGCCCTCCAGGTGATTCTAATGTGCAGCCGATGTGGAGAACCCCTGGGCACAACACATTGTAGCCACTGCATTCTCCCCTCAAAAAATTCTTTGGGAGAGTCAGGCATGGCATCTCCTTGCAGAAATTTCACTGCTTCTTACCTAAAAGGTTATGTATATTTGAATTTTTACAACTCTTTTTCATTTAAAGCCTATTTACTCACAGCAGGAATGAGTGGGAATGCCCCAGCCTGGCATCCTCCTAGTGTTGGACTGACCTCAGGAACTGGGTTGAGCCTCTGGCACCATGAGTACACGATATGGTGGCTTCCATCTTTGGCCAGCCTTCCCACAGACACACCCTGGGATTCCTCCAGAGCCCTAGGAGCTGGGGTCAGACAGGGCCAAGTATAGCAACCTATGTCCAGTTTGTCAATTGTGTAGAATGATCTGTTCACTTACCACTTTAAAAAAATATAAAACTATTATTCAGTCTATTTTCTGAGTAATATATGAAATGTTGGTCTCCACATCTAGATAAATTATAAAAACTTCATTCCATCTCTCTCCTGCCTAAATCCTATCTCTTTCTGTCATTTGTCATCCATCCATCCATCCATCCATTCAGGAAGCATTTCCTGACGACAGATTATGTTCCTGGCATGGTGCTAGGCAGAGCAAGGCTTATAGACACGTAGCTCTGCTCCCAGCCCTCACAGAACTTAATTGTTTTCTCTATTCATATCAGACTGAAAATTTGCTAAATGTGCCAGTGGAGGTGGAAGTGAGAATTTATTTGAGCAGAGGTGTGTCAACAGCTCTTTTTAAATAAACAGTGATTCTTTTCTGGCATACACCTGTTTGAGCCATCCCCCCACCCCCAGAGCTCTTTCCAAAATATTACATGGGGTGTGAGCTACCCTGATTTCTTTCTTCAGTAACTACTGATGAAAATAATTACTTCCATCTCTCTGCTCTTAGTATTTTCTCCCAGCTCCCACTTGAGCTTCGGTCATTGAGGGACTCTGCTCATTCATTGGCTGCTCTCTTCTCTCAAAGGACTGGATTTAAAGTCATTTGCAAGGCGCTCATTCTGTCTCATCTAATTGCGGTGACCCCTGACATAACTGGGGAGTGCACCCTAAAAACCTTTACAATCCCAAGTGTATTAATAAGGCCGAGTCTCAACAACGCTTTTTTTCCTCCCACATCTCATTTCTAGAGTCATGAGTTTCCTAACATCTCCACGCTCCATGAATTGATCAACATCTCAACTTTCAGTCAAGTTTTACCTCTCACTTGAGAGCCATTTTCCATAATGAGACCTAGTCTGCTTCCCTTCCTGAGAGGCAGGACTGTGTCCACGATGGAGGGCAGAGGACACTCAGGCTGGCCCACTCCCAGGTGCTGAGTGGCCCACTAGGCTCACTCCCCAGTTACCAGCGCTGTCCCATCCCCATCTTCCCTGTACAGCTTGTGTCATGAGCTTCCAAGGTCCCTCTTGAATATGTGAAACCATGACTATTAAATCCAGGAATCAGAGTTTGCTCTGTGGGATTACCCAGTTTTAGGGGGGTTTTGTATTTTTGAGACAGAGTTTCGCACTGTTGCCCAGGCTGGAGTGCAGTGGCACGATCTTGGCTCACTGCAACCTCCGCCTCCTGGGTTCTAGCGATTCTCTTGCCTCAGCCTCTCGAGTAGCTGGAACTACAGGCATGCACCACCACGCCTGGCATATTTTTGTATTTTTTGGTGGAGATGGGGGTTTCACTGTGTTGGCCAGGCTGGTCTTGAACTCCTGACCTCAAGTGATCTGCCCGCCACGCCCTCCCAAAGTGCTGGGATTACAGGCATGAACCACCCAGATTCCCTAGTCTTAACAATAATACTTTTGGGATATTTTTCCTTCTTAGATTGCTCTTATTTTGCTAGTTAGCAAGCCCCAGGGCTCCTAAGGTATTTGGCCTTTTTTATTTGTAATAAACATCTGTTTCCTGGACTGTATACGAGTTTATTCTGAAACATTTAATCTATTTAATTTCACCCCAACTAACACTGTTTATACAATTCCTTTTCTAACTAAATAATACTGAGATTGACTGTTCTGGCTTTTCTATTAAATATGGTGGATTTGTGGGGAGAAAATGTGTTCCTAAAATAAATGTCTTGATCTGTAAGGGTATGCCCATAAGGAGTGTGGAAGGGAGTTAAAATTTAGTTAGCATCTGCTATGTGCCAGGTAAAATGTATTATAATTAGCACCTACTACATGCTTTCATGGGTTATCTCAGAGCCACCACTGTATACAAGATGTTTAAGAACACACATACACCTGAGAGCTGGGAGAAAGTTCCTCTGCAGTGGGGATAAAAAGTAAAAAGACGTCGCCGGGCGCAGTAGCTCATCCCTGTAATCCCAGCACTTTGGGAGACTGAGGCGGGTGGATCACCTGAGGTCAGGAGTTCGAGACCAGCCTGGCTAACATGGTGAAACCCCGTTTCTACTAAAAATACAAAAAATTAGCCAGGCATGGTGGCATGTGCCTGTAATCCCAGCTACTTGGGGGGCTGAAGCAGGAGAATCACTTGAACCTGGGAGGTGGAGGTTGCAGTGAGCTGAGATCATGCCATTGCACTCCAGCTTGGGCAACAAGAGCAAAACTCCATCTCAAGAAAAACAAACAAAAAAAAAAAGTAAAAAGACGCTTCTTAGAGAAACTGTGAGTTGAGAAGCCAAATAATTAGAAATAGATCAGAGAAGCTGCAGGAAACCCAGAAAGAAACAGATTAACTGACCAGCTGCAGATCAGTAGAAAGGAATCCAGGGCAGCCTGCAGCCATTGAAGATAATTGTTCTGGCAGAAAGCCCCCGAGAGAGAGGAGTGCATTTGGGAGCTGCTTGTGAACGAGCGCCAAGGAGAGTATGTCAGAGACCCACCCTGTCTCAGTGTCCAGAGGTGATGCGCGGGGCACACATACAGAAGAGGCCTTTTTTCAGGCCCAGGAAAGCTCAGAGATGCGCCGGCTCAGAACTGAAGCCACAAGTAAGACAGGAAGCTGAGGTGAACAGGTTATCAGGGTGGCCGGTTGTGTCAAGTGACCAAAGTAAAGAAACTCCGCCCTTGCACCTCCCAACCAGTGTAGGTTGCACCCTCCCATTCTCCAGGTACTGCCAGTAAAAACATCTGTGGCCCAATCTACTGCCTGAGCACGGTACCTGCTACTGCAGCGGAGTCAGTCCCAAGGAGCGACACCAGTGAGCAGGAAAGCAGAAAAGGTGTGGGAGGAAACTCCTGTGTGGTCCCCTTTAGGGGGTGGGTAGTGGGAACCAGAAGACCCAGGTGCTGCTATTTTGAAGTCATCAGGGTCGGTTCCATCACTGCTTACTGACTTGCTGCACCTGCCCATTTCTACTGAGAACCAAGAGCAGTAGCTTTGTTCCTTTATAGGCTTTACAATGGTCTCTTCCAGGGAATGGTCTCTTGTCCTCTCCGAAAACTAAATCTCCACATTTCATCCCAGTGTGTGCATAATTACATTCCCAAGTGTCATTGCTGGGCCTGATGAAGCAGGTGCCCCCAGCTGGCTAAGTGCTTGCCTACCTGCTCATTGTCGGGACAGGTGGCATTCCACAGGAGGCTCCCCCGGTTTGTGTGCCTATCATTAGGTGTGGGATTTCCACCCACAAAGGCTCTCATGTGCTGTCTCTGGGCTGTTTTTACCCTACTGCTGTTTGTGGCCTTCCTTAGATACAAAGCTGCCTGCCCTCCCATATACCTACTCTGATCATTCCCTTGAAAAACAGGGGAAGGAGAGGAGGGAGGAGAGCTGCGGCCCAGGGGATAATCAGATCAGAGTCCCTAAAGGGTGGAAGGACCTCTGTGAAGGAAAGCATGAGAAAGGAACTTTAGAAGCAGGCAGAGCTGGTCAGCCACTGGCAAGCTGCAGATGAGCAGGAAGCATTTCCCTCGGTCAAACCAGCCTCACCCAGTCTGCTCCCTGAGGCCTTCAATTCCTGTAATGCAGCCAAGCTTTTCATTCCACAACTAGAGAACAGGCCCTTGGGAGTGAAACTTCAGACGGAAGCATGCATGTAGATACAAATGAGGGCTATAGATTCCTGCCCTGAGAGCAAACCTTGCCACCTGGGGGTCTGTGACCTTGGGTACTGGAAAGTGGGTATCAGTTCTCTCACTAACTGAACTGTACTGCCTTCCAAAAAATCTGCTTTTATACTAAGGGCAAGACCCTTGAAAACAAATAATCACCTTTGCATGGGTGCCTACAAGCCTTAAAAAGAAACCTGTGCTAATGTGAAAACCAAGCTCAAACATATCTCTCAAAAGAAAATTCAGAGTTTCCTGCCCCAGGTTGCCCCAGGCACTGGCCCTCCATTAAGACCAGCAGGGCTGCTTTGCAAAGCCTCACACCAAGAGAAAATGGTAGTCTATCCTAAAATATAGGGGCTCATGCCTGTAATCCCAGCACTTTGGAAGGCTGAGGTGGGAGGATCACTCAAAGCCAGGAGTTTGAGACCAGCCTGAGCAACATGGCGAAACCCCGTCTCTACAAAAAATTGAAAAAAAAAAAAAAATAGCTGGGTGTGGTGGTGCATGTCTGTAGTCCTGGCTACTTGGGAGGCTGAGGTGGGAGAATCACCTGAGCCCTGGAAGTTGAGGCTGTAATGAGCCATGTTCACGTCACTGTACTCTAGCCTGGGTGACAGAGTGAGACCCTGTCTTTAAAAAGTTAAAATTAAAATATTAAAATTTAAAATACATAAAATATAAGCAGTGATACTCAGGAGTTCACAGAAAAACTCCCTAACCAACTACATTTCTCTGAAAAATGATGGGAATCTCAGGGTCTACTTTTTCTCCAAGAACTTAAAGGAGGGTGGGAGTTTTTGGGGATTTCCAGAAAAATATCTGGAAATCTTATTCATGTGGCTTCTAGGATGCCAAATAAATGTCCTTGATGTCAGATGACCTCCAGCCAATGCCAGGAATTCATTAATCTTCTCCTGGCAGGGTGCAGACTCTAGAAACAAAGATGTTGCAGCCAAATCAACCCAGAATGTCTGAGACTCTCAGGAAAGCCAAAGGGGTCAAGGACCTGAGGGACAAGGAGGGCCTCGGCCCTCACCCTGGCACTGGGCTTCCGCCCGCTCCCTCCACGTCTGCCTGTCCAGCCTCCTTCTCCACTTGCCACTTCTGAGCAGCACATTTGATTCATTGTGGAAGGTGAAGCTATTAGCAAAAGTGAGGCACTTGCTTAACTGGGAATTTGGGGTGAGCAGATTCTTCTGTTTCTGTCCTGATTTTTGACAGGAAGAGATGTCCCCATTATCTAGCCCCTCATATTTGTGAATCCCTCTGGGCATCATTATCTGTTTCTAGAAATCCCTAAGCAGGGCCTGTACCTTTTCCATCATGTCTCTTCCCCACCACAACCCAACACTTCAGTCCTGGGCTAGAGACTATATGAAGGCTGGGCGTGGTGGCTCACGCCTGTAATCTCAGCACTTTGGGAGGTCAAGGTGGGAGGATCACTTGAGGCCAGGAGTTTAAGACCAGCCTGGGCAACATGGTGAGACCTCATCTCTACCAAAAAATTAAAAAAAAAATTAGCCCAGCATGAGGGCATGCCCCTGTAGTCCCAGCTACCTGGCGGTCTGAGACAGGAGAATTGCTTGAGCCTGGAAGGTTGAGGCTACAGTGGGCTGAGATTGCAACACTGCACTCCAGCCTAGGCAACAGAGTGAGACCCTGTCTCAAAAAATAAATTAATTAAATTTTAAAAAGACTATATGGATTCCCAGACAGTACTGCAAGGGGAAGGTGGCCATTTGTTGGTGAGAACAAATAAATGACTCCGGCAGACTGAGCCCTTGGAGTAGCGCAGGCCTCACTCACCTTTTCCGCTATCAGGAAGTCATAGCGAAGGGCCTCTCGAGTGCAGATGGCGCCCAGGAGGAAGACGAAGATGATGTACAGAAACCACCTGCAAAACCCAAGAGCAGAACAGAGCTGCCCCCGACTCACCTCACCCAGCCCCATCCAATTCCCTCACTCAACCTTCTGTTTCCAAAGGGAACTTGTATCAGAATGAGAGAAAGGCCAGTCATGAAGCTTCCCCAGCTGGCTTGGGAGGACACTTTTTGTACTATTTCTCTTCTGGCATATTTCTTACCAAAAAAGGGGTACCATTGTTTTGTTTCTTTTTTTACTTTTAAATATATATAAAAATATGGAACACTTCACGAATTTGCATGTCATCCTTGCACATGGGCCATGCTAATCTCTGTATTGTTTTAATTTTAGTGTATGTACTGCTGAAGTGAGCAGTTTTTTTTCTCTTTCTTATATTAAAAAAGAAAAACATACAAAGGGCATTCCGAGTAGGGAAGTGGGAGGCCCAGTTGCCTCTAGGTTGCCAGGATTCAGGCCAGGGTTGCCCCGCAGCCTCACACCCCAGCCTCCTCCAGCAAAAGAACAAGCTGATGATCCTTCGGGCCTCTAAGTCCTGCTGGTCTGTTATCTTTGGATCAGATAATAAAGAGGGAAACTAAAGTCAAAAGGCAGAGAGCAGAGGCCTGGCTCTGTCCCCAAGATGCCCTGTAACCTTGAACAAGACCCAGGTTCCTGTGGTCTCCTCATTCCCATCTGGGTAATCAGAGGATGGGCCAAGGGTTCCTCCTGGAACCTCCCAGCTGGGGCCAGAAACAAGACAGGGTCCTCATTCAGAAGCCTCTTTCTTTTATTTCCTTCCCAACACTCAACTCTATCTCTGTTGTCTTCATTTTCTTCCCAATGTTATTGCACAAAATACCCTGATGCTGTACGCCAGGCTGATAGCAATGGTTTCACTGCAGTAAGCTAAGAACAAATTCAGTGTTTGTGAAACAGATACATTAATATTTTCTAAATACTGTGGTTAGAATAACACAGGCCCTTTTAACTTCTCAAGTCATTGTTTCTGGTCTCTGATCTCTTTGCCTCTTCACACCTACCCAATGAAGGGCAGAGAAGCTTCTTCCTGTGGTACAGAGAGAAACAATATTCTAAAAGGTCAGAAATAGACCCAAGGTTACCCAGCCTGCTTGTGTGGGTGGCACAGTGTGAACTAAAACCCCAGAGGCCTGACGGCCTGGGGGAGCTGGAGGGGAGGCTCACTGGGGGAAGAAGAAGAGCTGGGTGCTGAGCTTCCACTGTGTGCCTTCTCTCCCCGCCGCAATCTAGGAAGCACATACAGTGTCATTATCCCCATTTCACAAGAAAGGAAATGGAGGCTCAGAGAACTCAGTAAATTGTCCAGAGTCATGCAGCCAATCAGCGGCAGAGCTGAGATGCAGCCCCAATTCGTCTGATTGCAAAACTCTTCATCTTTATGCTCCCTCCAGTGATCCTGGAAACTCGGTGGTTAAAAAAATCCCCAAGTTCAAAATGGGGGTGGGGGAGGGACGGGGGCGGGAGGCCGAGGAAAGGAAAGAAAGGATTCGATCTGTGATCTGGGTCCCGACACTCCTCCTCGGCAGCATTCCCAGGCAGGGCGCATGAAAGGGCAGTGTCTGAACCCACCAGACGTGAATTTTCCAGCCCACCGAGTGTTAAAAGAAGGATCGGAATATGAAATAGATTGGTCACAGTCGGGGCACTCTCAGAACAAAAGGGGCAATCCCTCTTCTGCCTGGGGTTTTCTCTCCCACTCTCTAGCTCAGACTGATTGCCATGAGGGGAACTTACGAGATGCCAACAGCTGCCAGGGAGCCCAGGGGAATGCTGGCGGCAGGCTCCCTGAGGTCGCCCCCCATGTTGAAGCCGGCCATGACTCCTGAAAGACACCCAGATGGGGAATGGGGTGAGCAGCCTCCTCCACGCATCGCCTTCCCCAGGGCTGCCCCTTCCTCTCCTGCGGGACCCTCTCCTGGAAGCTGTCCCACCGCAAGCCCTCCAGCTGCAGCTCTGCGCATAGGCTGCTTTTCAATCTCCCCTGGCAACTAGGGAGGCATCCCTGTGGCGTGAAAGGCACCTTTGTGGGTTGGAGGAGGCTCAGGAGGAAAGCCCTCCCAGCTCCAAAAGCATCCTACCGCTCAGCGCAAAGCAACCAGGGGGGAGGAAAGCGGCTTGCAAGGCACACAGAGGTCCTGCGCTGCCTGCTGAGCTGGGACAATGCCCTGGAGAGGCTCAGCATTACAAAGGTCTGGCAGCCTCCTGCTCAGCAGCTTTCCCTGCCTCTGCTGCCTGCTGATTCCATGGGAGCTTCCTGTGTCCTCGGGGTCAGGTACCATCCTCCAAGCCCCTGAGCTACCAAAGGGCTTGAAATAAACTCCAAAAAAACCAATCCTGATGCCACTGACATGGAGTCACAAGCTCCTTTTCATCATCACCTCTCTTCTGCAAGAACACTAATGAAAATGAATTAATCCATGAGGGACCCACAGCACAGTGCTGCATGGTGAAGTGGGGATGTTGCCTCTTCCCATACAAACAAATATATGAAAGCAACAAGACAGGGTGTTCTGAACATCGGATGAGGATCCAGCCCACAAGTGCCATAACAACTCAGTGTGATGGGCTGCCCTGGTCAGGAAAGACCCGTGGAGGGGGTTGTATCTTGAATGTGGCCTTGAAAGAGGGATTTGAATGGGCTTAGGGATGGGAATGAATCTAACTCCATGATTTGTGAACACTTTCAAACTGCCTGGGCCTGTGTCAAGTGCTTTACATGCATTTTTTTATCCTGTTTAATTCTCATAACAACCTCATCAGAAAGGTAGAATTATTTCCTCATCTTATGGAAAAGTGTTCAAAGAGGTTAATTAAAACAGCCTAAGGTCACACATTTAATAAGCAGCAAAGCTAAGATTCAACCCTGGTCTGTCTGACTCTGAAAATTATGCTCTTAATGCCTCTGCTACAATGCTTCACAGAATCCAAGCGAAGTGCAGTGAAGTGACAGTTTGGAACCAGAAAGTGAAAGTAGGGGGGTGTATTTCAGAGAGAACCCTGAATGCTGGCCCGCGGATGGGGTGCATATACTGTCACCCAGCAACTCCACTATGAGGACTTTACCCATCGTAGGTAGTCAAGGCTATGAGGGAAGATTTAGCCCAGCGTGTTTATAAACGCTTGTTTAGAATAGTGGAAATTAGAAACAACCTAATGTCTAAAAATAGAGGGTTGGTTAAATAAGTGATGATATAGCTTTCAATAAATACTAGGTCTCAGAATATTGTAAGGGATATGTTGTGACATGGAAAGATGTTTAGAAGCTTTTGCTTAGTTTTAAGACGCATATTAGAAAACAGAACACATGGTATGATCCCATTATTATAAAAATATATAGAAAAAGGAACTGGAACATGTTTTAAAACATTAACAATGTTATTTCTGGGTGATAAAAGAACAGGTCATTTTTATTTGACTGTTTATATTTTCTCAATTTTCTACAATGATCATTTTGAAACGTGAAAACTTTTAAGGTTTTGTTGTTGTTGTTTTTGTTTTTGTTTTTAACGGCCTGTTAGGCACATTTTCTTTCCTCTCATTCCCTCCTCTCCAAGATCCTATTAAGAGCATAGTAAAGGGGAAAAGTAGATAAATTCCCATAAGCAAAGAGAAGTTGGGAGGAGGACCCTAAGTAGATGAAAGGTTCCCATGAATGTCTGGAACATAGAACATAGAAAATGGAGAATATAATACCGAGGAAAAGAGAAGGAAAGAAAGCCTCGGAATGCTTCTCTACAAGATCTCAATACACTGAGGAAAACCAGGGCTGGACGTTTGCACCCCAAATAAAGCCCTGCTCAAGAATCAACAGCACTCACAAACTTCTCATCAAGGTAGGGCCCCAGCAGGGAGACAGACCTAACCATGCGACAGCTGGGGAAATCCATGCCCACAACCAAGATCACCCAATGTGTGATGAAAACCAGCAACAAATAAACAAATACACGCATAAATAGAAACAGAACAACCCAGGCTGGAAGAAACATAAATCAGGATACAGAGAGAATTTGGAAGAAAACACTAATTAGTAGCTCCAGGTACATCCAAGAAGAATATTCTATCTATAAAACAAGGTGCTATGAAAAAAAATCCAAGAACAACAAAGAACTTTTGGAAATTAAAAATATGATCATTAAAATTAAAAATGCAACAGATTTAAGGGCCAGGTGTGGTGGTTCATGCCTGTAATCCCAGCGCTTTGGGAGGCCAAGGCAGAAGGATCACTTGAGGCTGGGTGTAATGGCTCACACCTTTAATCCCAGCATTTTGGGAGGCCGAGGCAGGCAGATCATCTGAGGTCAGGAGTTCGAGACCAGCCTGACTAACATGGTGAAACTCCATCTCTACTAAAAATGCAAAAAGTAGCCAGGTGTGGTGGTGCACACCTATAATCCCAGCTACTTGGGAGGCTGTGGTGGGAGGATCACTTGAGCCCAGGAGGTAGAAGTTGCAGTGAGCGGATATCATGCCACTCACTCCAGCCTGGGTGACAGAGATCCATCTCAGGAAAAAAAAAAAAAAAAAAAAGAAGGATCCCTTCAGGCCACAAGTTTGAGACCAGCTTGGACCACACAGCATCTCTTCATAAAATAAAAAAGTTATCCGGGCATGGTGGTACACACATCCCAGCTACTCAGGAGGCTAAGGCAGCTTTAATTGACTCACAGTTCCACATGGCTGAGGAGGCATCACAAATCATGGCAGAAGGGGAAGGAGAAGCAAAGTCACGTCTTGCATGGCAGCAGGCGAGAGAGAGCTTGTGTAGGGGAACTCCTATTTATAAAACCATCAGATCTCGTGAGACTTATTCACTGCCATGGGAACAGCACGGGAAAGAGACTCACCCTCATGATTCAATTCCCTCCCACCAGGTTCCTCCCACGACACATAGGAATTGTTACAATTCAAGGTGAGATTTGAGTGGGGACACAGAGCCAAACCATATCATGACATAGTGCTCTTTATTCCTCGCCATTGTTGTACCTCCTACAGTTTGTCAGGTCATTTTGTACACCTTCCTTCAGATCTTTTATACAGAAGTTAACCCATGAAGACCCCTGAGAACACCACAGCAATATATGCTTCTGTGGAGGAAAATGACTGATTCATCCTAATTGCTTCCTGCTTCCAAACACTTACTGTCTCCATAACAAACCCCCTTTACTCCTCCCCCAGGTTCTGTGTAGGCTGCCTGTTGTGCAGTACATTAGGATGCTGCTCAGTGGGAGGAGAAAGGACTGACCGTGACACAGGAATGAGCCAGGCCCAGATATGGCCAGAAACTTGGCTTTTGAGACAAAACAGAGAAGCCAGAAAGTAGATTATATCACAGACACAAAGAGCCAGAAACAAGGAGATGCAGGCAACTCGGACTGCAGACAAGAAGTCTCACGGGTGATTCCTGCTGGGGCAATGTGGGTGGTTCCCACAGCAAAGTGTACATTTGTTTGTGTTTGTTTGTTTGTTTGGATTTTTTTTTTGAGATGGAGTTTCCCTCTGTCGCCCAAGCTGGAGTGCAATAGTGTGATCTTGGCTCACTGCAACCTCCGCCTCCTGGGTTCAAGTGATTCTCCTGCCTCAGCCTCCCAAGTAGTTGGGATTATAGGCACCTTCCACCATGTCTGGCTAATTTTTGTATTTTTAGTAGAGATGGGGTTTCACCATGTTGGCCAGGCTGGTCTCGAACTCCTAACATCAGGTGATCTGACTGCCTCGGCCTCCAAAGTGCTGGGATTACAGGCATGAGCCACCGTGCCTGGCCTGCACATTTGTTATAGGGGCTCACACACTGTGGCTGTCATTTCCAAAATTCTACCTCTGTGTTACCACACAATTCTTGGGCAATGTTCCCTAGCTTCGGTGAATTATAAATGTCTCATTCACTAGTTAGAGCTAGAAAAATTATTTTGACTTAGTATTTTTTTCCTGTCTGTGTTAAGTGTCACAGAAATTCTCTAGTTTGCTTTCTTTTTGCATCCAGTGCAATTTTAAAACACTATCATTAAGGTTAGAGTTACATTTAGGGTTGGCGTAATAGAACAAATACTATTTCCCAGAGCATTAGTGCCCAGGTGTTTTACAAATATTACATTTTTTAAAAAGTTCCACAATTGAAAATAAGGTTGGGAAAACCTTAATTAGAGAGGTTTTCGGTGCTGGGCTATTGTAGTGCCTATAATATGCTAATATTCATTGTCCATCTCTAAGAAGAGAAATACAGCACACAGTTTCGCAAAACTTATTTGGCATTGAACCCTTTTTTTTTTTTTTAAAGAAATGAAAACTTTCTTCATTATTAAAGTTCCACAGAGCACAGTTTGGGAAACACTCAGTGCCCATTTTATAATTACTATTTGGTCTCGACACTTTTCTTGGCGGGCTTCCAAAAATTGTTTAAATTTGGCTATTTAGGACTGGATGGAGTGGCTCATGCCTGTAATCCCAGCACTTTGGGAGGCTAAGGTGGGTGGATCACCTGAGGTCAGGAGTTGGAGACCAGCCTGACCAACATTGTGAAACCCCGCGTCTACTAAAAATACAAAAAATTAGCCAGGCATGGTGGCACGCACCTGTAGTCCCAGCTACTTGGGAGGCTGAGGCAGGAAAATCGCTTGAATCTGGGAGGCGTAGGTTGCAATGAGCCAAGATCACGCCACTGCACTTCAGCCTGGGTGACAGAGCAAGACTCCGTCTCAAAAACAATAAAAATAAAAAATAAAACAGTTATTTAGAATCATGATTCTTAAATCTAGGTGATACCCTAGCGATCATCTACTCCAACCTTTTATTTCACAGATGAGGCAACGGAGGCCCAAAGAAGGGAAGCCATTTGATTCAAGTGTTCCAAGCTAATTGCTAACAGAACCAGCACTAACCCTCAAGTTTCCTGATTCCAAGTCAGTGTTGTTTCCACTACATCACATAGCCTCTCCATTTCTTCCTAACACCCCTGCTCTTTGTAGATTTCCCCTTCTGAAATAGTAATTGCATGATTAATGTGGGGTTACATACCCACAAGAAGGCTGAGCTTATCAGTTATAATCGGCGCGATGCATTGGTTTCGCCACAGGCACTTGCATCACCAGCTCCTAATCTCTAGACAGTGCTGGATTGATGGCATTTCTGGGTTTTAAACGCCAATTCCAGGAAGCAGTTAATTGCTTTACCCAAAAACATTTTTTCTCCCTGCATCACAACGATGATCTGTCTGGTCTGCACACTGTTACCATGTGACTTAGGTAAACAGCTTCCTTAATATGGGGAAAGCCTTCTGGCTTGGTCTTCCACCCCAGTCCTGGGGCCTTCAGGCACATATTTATGGTCTCAGTTTTGATATGCAAGTCTGAAGGTGTCAGCCATCACTTGACCAGCTTAGGTTTATGAGGCTACACCTCGAGTGGCATCCGTAGCCACCTAGACATTGACATCACACCTACAGTTTCGATGGATGGCACCAGGTGAACAGGGGACTTGGGGTCAGCGCCTACTTCCAGTGTCTGGTCTCACAGAAGACATAGAGGGCCAGAAAATGAATCAACCCCTTATAGCTCTCAAAAATATATCCTTGGGTAAAATAACCAGTGTAAATGTCAATGACCACTTACCAACATTTGCAAGTGGGTAGGTCATCTCTTTTCTTCCCTGCCCCCTGAATCACCCAGTGGCACACATTGATCAAAGTCCTTACTTATCACCAATTACCACAAGCCCGTTTCCCACCCCAATTCCCTTTTCTGTTCCTGAAAATGAAGATTAGTAGGAAAAGAAAATCCCAACAGTTTTTCTAGGCTTTTCAGGTTCCTGTTAGTTCATAAAGGACTACTTACTCTTTCTCAAGGAACTTCCAAGATTCCTCCTGGGGACTTTTCAATCCAAATCTGTGTCCTCAGAAACTCTTCAACTTTTTCTTTCCATTTATAGCTTAATCGTTTCTCTGCTGCCTGTTTTCTAAGTTCATAACTTTATTTTTCTTTCTTATGAAGGTAGACTACACATGCACTAACGTGCCCAAGTCTCATCTGCTGCCTTTTTTTTTTTAACTGAAAAAAGGGATCTATTACTGTTTGGTGGCAATGTGGCTCTGAGCCCTGCTTTCCTCACCTGTAAATGGGGATTATACTGTTTGCTTTGCAGGACTGTGGTGAAGTTGGAACAGATATTCATAAGCACCTAGCACAGTGGCTGGCACCTTGTAGGTGCTAAATAAATGCTCACCCAGGAGAGATGGGCTCTGCTCCTTACTCAGAAATCCCTCAGATTCCTAAAGACTGGTCTGCCTCTCTTTACCTTCCTTCTGATTTCCAAACCCCATTCCTTTCCCATACCTGGCTTGTTGGTTGGTTTGTTCAGCTGTTCCTGCAGAAATCTCTAAACCTGTCTTGCTCTGTTCTTGGAGCAAAACTTGTGAGTTTCCCTCCCTCTCAATGTTTTAGAGATGCTGCTGGGACAGACAGTGTCAAATAATGCAACTTTCCAACTCCAGGACCCAGGCAAGATTTATTGGCTTCTGGATGAGGGGCGGCACCAACATTATGTGTTCTCTCTTTATGGGAAGCAACGGGGTTTACCGCTTACTGGCTGGGAGATGTTGGGGAAATAACCTCTCTAAATCTTTGTTTCCTCATCTGTAAAATGGGTAAATAATAGAACCTGTGGGAGGATCTAGGTTCCATGCGGCCTGAAATTTTTTTGAAAGTACAAAATTATGAATATAAAATTAGGAACAAGGCTTTGGAAGGAGCTCACGCAAGTGAGGGACCTTGAAGCCCAGGCTTCAACCACTTCATGGCAGCCCTGTGTCTGATGGAACCAGTCAGGCTGTGGAGAAGTTTAAACAGAAAACTATACATAAAGTGCTTAGTGGCTGACATAATAGGTTATTGTAATGATAATAAGTATTGTCGATATTTATAATTGTTTTGATAAAAACTGTTGATATGTATAATTATTTTGATAAAACAATTATAAATTAATTCCATAAATAAAATTACAAAAAATAGACATGTATAATAATTATAAAACTTTTTTTTTTGAGACGGAATATCACTTTGTCGCCAGATTGGAGTGCAGTGGTGTGATCTTGGCTCACTGCAACCTCCACCTCCCGGGCTCAAGTGATTCTCCTGCCTCAGCCTCCAGAGTAGCTGGGACTACAGGCATGTACCATGCTTGGCTAATTTTTGTATTTTTAGTAGAGACAGGGTTTCACCATGTTGGCCAGGATGGTCTTGATCTCTTGACCTCGTGATCTGCCCGCCAACCTCCCAAAGTGCTGGGATTACAGGCATGAGCCACCGTGCCCGGCCTAAGCTTATTTTTATTTTTTTTTTTTTTTGAGACGGAGTCTCGCTCTGTCGCCCAGGCTGGAGTGCAGTGGCGGGATCTCGGCTCACTGCAAGCTCCGCCTCCCGGGTTCACGCCATTCTCCTGCCTCAGCCTCCCAAGTAGCTGGGACTACAGGCGCCCGCCACTACGCCCGGCTAATTTTTTGTATTTTTAGTAGAGACGGGGTTTCACCGTTTTAGCCGGGATGGTCTCGATCTCCTGACCTCGTGATCCGCCCGCCTCGGCCTCCCAAAGTGCTGGGATTACAGGCGTGAGCCACCGCGCCCGGCCTTTTTTTTTTTTTTTTTTAAGACAGGGTCTCACTCTGACACCCAGGCTGGAGTGCAGTGATGCAATCTTGGCTCACCGCAACCTCTGCCTCCCAGGTTCAAGCAATTTTCCTGCCTCAGCCTCCCGAGTAGCTGGGACTACAGGCTTGAGCCACTGCACCCAGCCAAAGCTTCCTTCTTGTCTCCTGTTTCTGCCCATAAGTCCATCAGAATGAAGGGAGTGGAGTGAGCCCCCATCTTCAGACTGTCCCTACTTGGGGCTCTCTAGTCCTTAAACATGGGAACCCCATTCTGATCCAGCAGGTTCTTGTCCTCTCACTCACAAGACACATAACTTGTGAGGAGACCCAGGGGACGCCTAGGAGGGGGGAATGGGGGAAGTAGGCCAGAGGAGGGGTGAGCACTAACAGCCGGGCTGAGGGGCCTGGAGACAGCCAGCCAATTGGAGGGCCCAGCAAATTCCCAGAGCTTCCCAGGGTGTGTACATGAGCAGGAGAGAGGAGTCAGGCCCAGGGAGGTCAAAGGGCATCACAGAAATAGCTGGGTTCTTGAAAAGGAAGGTGACTGTGGACATTTCAGTAAAGGCTGTAGGTTTCCTACCACATTTTTTCGTGCTGGGTGTGGTCAACCACAGGCCCATGTGTTGGCTGTGGCCAAAGAGGCCCTTATCCCTTCCAGTAAGAGTTTAGAATCTGGGAACAAGGGTTACAGGACTTCACATGACTGATATTCTTTTCAGTGAATTTCCATTTCCTAGTTCCTCTGTGAATCGTGTTCCTGGATCCCTGGAGTGGCTGCATCCACATGGTATGTGTGAAACCCTGGAGAGGAGATGTCTGCTTCTCAGGGAAAGTTTGGTAGTGGAGCTTGGAGAAGGAATGCACTTTGAGAAGGAATGCACTTTAAGAAGCAAAGCAAGTACAGCATCCACTCCAAGCTCCCCCCACTCCACCCCTGCAGCCACCAGCACAGGGTGTAATGGAGAAGAGTGCAGTGAGGGGGCAGGGGGACAGCTTCCTAAATCCAGAGGAGCACCAGACCGAATCTCCAGCCGCTCTTCCCAGGAAGCTGCCTGCCCTTGGGATAAAATATCTGAAGTAACTTAACCATCATATCTCTGTCAGGAGGATGGGGGGCTGGGGACAGAAGGGTTTGTTCATCAAAACTCTCTCCTCGCCACAGTCTGGAGGTTCTCTTGTTCCAGAAGAGGATGGTGTTGGAGGGAACCCCAGCCATGACTCACTCGGAGCTAATCCTTAGCAAATCTATCACCATGGAAACTGCCAATCATCCATGCTTTTCATAGCTTAACCGAACATCTGCCAGGAGACAGCAAGTCATACAAACCATTCGTCCTGCCTATTGTGTTTACAATTGGGGCCCTGAAAAACAGAGACAGAGACACGGAGGGCAGCTCTCCACAGCAGGGTGACGGCCCAACTCTGGCCACTAATCAGCTTCGTGACCTCTGTCGGGTCCTTCATAAGCTCCTCTGCACCCCTCCTCCCCAGCTGGTAAAATAAAGGATCAGATCAATGATTCTTCACCTCAGTTGGGCCAATGAGAGTGAGAGGGACAGGAAAGCAGGTCCCCTAAGAGGGGTGGGGCAGAGAGGCCTGTGTAGTTACAATCTATGCGCTATTATCATTTTACATTTGAAAGCTTTCAAAATAATACTCATAATTTAAATCACAGAAAATAAATCTTGACTCATCGTCTTAGGTAGCTATAGCTTTTTCAGCGGAAGGACAACGACACTCCATCTCTGAGCCAGAATGTCCAGTGTCTGTGAGGCTTTTAGTATCATTATCAAAAGTGAATATAGGCCAGGCATGGTGGCTCATGCCTCTAATCCCAGCACTTTTGGAGGTGGGAGGTCGAGGCGGGTGGATCACTTGAGGTCAAGAGTTCGAGACCACCCTGGACAACATGGCAAAACTCCATCTCTACTAAAAATACAAAAATTAGCCAGGCATAGTGGCATGCTGTTGTAATCCCAGCTACTCAGGAAGCTGAAGCACGAGAATCTCTTCAACCAGAGAGGCAGAGGTTGTAGTGAGCTGAGATCACACCACTGCACTCCAGCCTGGGTGACAGAGCGAGACCCTGTCTTAAAAAAAAGAAAAAGAAAAAGAAAAAGAAAAAGAAATACGGATTAAAAAGACAAAAGCTTGGGAGTTGGACTAGCTGATCTCACATGTGAGTCCAGCTCATACTCTGGGCTACTGGGTGGCACCTTCAAGCCTCAGGCTGCTGCTAACTCCTGCCTGGAGGGAGAAGCTGGAGGGGAGGCTCACCGCCCCCTTCCCCCACTCACACCAGGCATCCTCTCTCTTAGGAAAGCCAGCCGTGGGAGCAGAGTGGAGGGGCACATCAGGGCCACATTGCCAAGACAAACCCCTGGTGCACCTGAGGACGCCCGAGACATTCCCTGCACAGTGTGACCAGGCAAAGAGGCCTTCTGCCCTGCCTCTAGGGTAAATGCTAACCTGGTATCTTGGCCCAGGGGTCTTCACTCAGTGGGGACACTGCCAGGCTCCAGAGAACACTCAGATGGTTTTCAATTTGTGTGTGGAAGGAAAGAGGAAGAGAGGCTGGGAAACATCATCAGATGTTAACTTTGTTTAATTCCCTCTGTTTTTCCCTTTTCCTTTTCTGTCCATTCAGGAGGAAGCTGACCTATATTCTCTTGTCTTGTGGGAGACAAGAGGCAGAGAGGAAGCAGAATTTGCCTGTGCACTGTTTTGGCTTCTGTTTCTCAAAAGCCTAGGTCCTTAGAAGATTTTGGAGGGAAACAGAAAAGAAACAGCAGAATCGCTGGGGAAAACATGAGGCGACAAGGAGAAAAACTATCACACAGTTTGTGGGGCCACATAAAAATACAAATGCAGAATCAAAAATTATTAAGATTTTTTTTTTATTTTTTGAGACAGAGTCTTGCTCTGTCACCCAGGCTGGAGTGCAGTGGCACGATTTCAGCGCACTGCAATCTCTGCCTCCCAGGTTCAAGTGATTTTTCTGCCTCAGCCTCCCTGAGTAGCTGGGATTACAGGCATGCCCTACCACACCTGGCTAATTTTTGTATTTTTAGTAGAGATGGGGTTTCACCATGTTGGCCAGGCTGGTCTCAAACTCCCGGGCTCAAGTGATCTGCCCACGTCATCCTCCCAAAGTGCTGGGATTACAGGCGTGAGCCACCAGGCCGGGCCCAAGAATTTTAGTAACAGCAAAGCCTTAAAACAAGCATGAGTCCCTTCTCAGGGTGGGGACAGTGTAAATGCATAGGTCACACACCCAGAAAGCTGGCCCTGGACAGGAGTGTCCCCATATTTGACAGAAGATTGGTTCTGGAGTCGGGGGCAGGGAGAGAGAGAGGCTGTTCCCAGGTTCTGGGGAAATGAGGACCTGGAACCCCCACCCCGCCAACTCCCTGGCAGTACTGGTGGGGAGCCGGTAAGACCCCCAGAAGGAAAGGTTTGGGGAGTACATAGACCCTAAGCATAGGGTTCCCAATCTCAGATTTCCAGTCCTTGAACGTGGCTCAGAGGCAGCACAAACCTGAAAGGCCCTATGGACAGGACAATGGGAAGGCCTGGTTCTGTTTACAGATAAGGAATTGCAGAGCCCCCCAAACATGTCTGGGTACTGTTTAAAACCCTAAGCCCCTGGAGCTGGTGCAGAGCATGGCAGGAGCAGGTGGAGGCATGCTGAATTACTGCTCTTACTTTTAAGCCATCCTGGCAGAATGAAGGCTTAGAGTCGGAGACTGACTCTTTTTGTTTTATAAAAATGAAAGCGACGCACTATTTCTGGCAAATCTGGATTTGTAGACCAGGATTCGACCTGCCACTTCCAAGCCCTAGTTCCAGGCTCATTTCCATGGCCGAGCCTTAAGAAAAGTCAGGCAGGAAGCTGACACAGTGATACAAGTGATAGATGAAGCTGGGACCAGAGTGGTCAGGTGGTAGACATAAGGAGAAGTAGAGAGAATCTAGCAACTCTTAGGAGGTAAAATTGACAAGACTTAGAGGGCACTGGAAAGAAAGAGGGAGGTCTGATCACTGGCATAAGCATTTGGCTGGGTGGAGGTGCCATTTACTGACATCAGGAGTACAGGAGGAGGACAAGTTGAGGGGTAGGTGAGATGGGTTTGGTTCAAACTTGTTCGGTCCAAGATACCCAAGAGAAGATGTCACATGGACAACTGAATGTATGATGTGAAGCTTGGAAGAGAAGTCTGGGCTGGAAGTGTAAATTTTGGAGTCACCAGTTTTGAGGGTGGTTATTCAACAATAAGCATGGATGAGACTCCAAGGAAAATAGTTGAGAAAGAGATGTGAGGGCCTAGGAATAGCTTGAAGATCCCCAACATTGGACAGGCAGGTGGAGGGGATGCACCTATAAAGGCAAGTCAGAGAGTAGGAGGGAGCTGAGAAGCCTGCATCGTGGAAGGCAAGAGAAATGCAAGGGGAAGTGGGTTGTTGCTGAGAGTTAAATAAAGTGAGAGACTAAAAATGCACGCTGCATTTAGTAACAAGGAAGTCACTGGTGAAAGAGCCATGTCATTGCAGAGACAGGCTTGCAATTCCCAAAGGAGAGACTGGGAGAGTTGAGTAGGGGATACAAGAATGGACATGGGGAGCCATGTTGTTTGGCTTTGAAGAGGAGAGGGAAAGGCTATTGCTATAAGGAAAAGTGGGATTGAGGAAAATCAATTAAAGATGATTAAAGTTATTGTCTTTTTCATTTTAACAGCTTTATTGAGGTATAACTAACATTCTATAAGATGTACATGTTTAAAGTGTAACAACTTGAAAAGCTTTGCTATATGAATATACCCATAAAACCATCACTATAATCAGGAATACACACACACACACACACGCACACACACACACACAATTTTTTTTTTGATACAGGGTCTCACTCTGTCACTCAGGCTGGAGTATCATGGCGTGACCAAAGCTCACTGTAGCCTTGACCTCCCAGGATCAAGCAGTCCTCCTGTCACCCACCTCCCACCCCTAAGTAGCTGAGAATCACTACAAGTGATTCTCCTGCCTCAGCCTCCCGAGTTGCTGGGACTACAGGTGCATGCCACCACGCCCAGCTAATTTTTGTATTTTTAGTAGAGATGGGGTTTCACCATGTTGGCCAGGCTGGTCTCAAACTCCTGACCTCAGGTGATCCGGCTGCCTCAGCCTCCCAAAGTTCTGAGATTGTAGGCATGAGCCACTGCGCCCGGCCAAAGCTAACTTTTTAATCATGTTTTGTAGAGACCACAGGGTCTCACTATGTTGCCCAGGCTGGTCTCAAACTCCTGAGCTTGAGGGATCCTCCTGTCTTGGCCTCCCAAAGTGTTAGGATTATAGGCACAAGCCACCACGCCAGGCCAGGAATATATTTTTCATCCCCCCAAAGTTTCCTTCTGCACTTTAGTAATCCCTCCTTCGTGCTCCTCTCACTCCCATTCCCAGGCATCTGTCACTATAGATTGCATTTTCTAGAACTGCATATAAATGGAAATTTATACAATCATATTTATTTGCTTTTTTTTTGGTCTGACTTATTTTACTCAGCATAATTATTTTGAGATTCACCTATATTGTTGTGTGTATCGATAGTTATTTTTCTTTGTTTAGAGACACAGTCTCGCTCTGTCGCCCAGGCTGGAGTGCAGTGGCGCCATCTCAGCTCACTGCAACCTCTGCCTCCCAGGTTCAAGTGATTCTCCTGCCTCAGCCTCCTAAGTAGCTGGAACTACAGGCATGCACCACCATGCCAGGCTAATTTTTTTTTATATATATTTTTAGTAGAGATGGGGTTTCACCATGTTGTCCAGGCTGTTCTTGAACTCCTGACCTGAGGTGATCCACCTGCCTTGGCCTCCCAAAGTGCTAGGATTACAGGTATGAGCCACCACGCCTGACCAGTTATTTATTTTTATTATTGAGTGGTTTTCTATTGTGTGGCTACATCATAGTTTATTTATGCACTCACCTGTTGATGAACATTCAAGCTATTTCCAGTTTGGGACTATTAAAATTTAAGCTGCTTGGAAGTTCATGTACAAATCTTCATATGAACACAGGCTTTTGATCCTCTGCAGTAGATAACTAGGCATGGAATAGCTGGATGTAATTTTTAAGAAACTGTCAAACTTTTTTCCAAAGTCACCGCACCATTTTACATTCCCTTCAGCAGTGCATGAGGGTTCTGGTGTCTCCACATCCTTGCTAACACTTGTATGGACAATCTTCTCAATCTTAGACACTCTAGTAGCTTCTCCTTCTTTTTCTGTCCCTATCCCATTTGGGGTGGGGACAACAAGTAAGGAAATGGCCATATGTAGGAGGGCAGAGGGAAAGGAGAGAGAGACAAGGAGACAAGACAGATATCCTCTGGCCATCAATACTCTCTTGATCAAGAGTGAAATGCTTTTCTCTCTTCATTAAGAGTCTGTTCCCTGGGGACAAGCCCAGTCACTAGCAAATGTTATTTTTTATGGAGCATCTGGTCAACATGTTAGCTTATTGCCTTCCAGGCCAGGGACCCAAGCATGGGGCAGGAGCCCTACAGGGACCTTGGCTGTGGGAGGCTCCTCTACAGTCACTGCAGAGCAGGAACTTGGGGAAGGGAGGGTAAGGAGATTCATTCCTCACCCCCGCGATACTGGTTTGGCTCACACCTGATACAGCAAGAAAACAAAAGACAATAGTGTTTCTCTGCCCTCTGGGAGAAGATGTGCTGGTACGGGTAGGGGGAAGGGAAGTTTCGATTCCAGGTATGCACTTATTCCACCTGTGGAAAGAGCGGCTTGTCCTGCTGAGGAATCCGTCCTGTTCAGCCCTATGAGATATGTATCCTTTCTATGAACAAAAGGTGTCAATGTATAAGGAGTGAGGAGGATTAAATCATATCGAAGGCCTTCAGTAAACTCTGTTAAAATAATAGATTTTTATGTTTGAGGCCAGGGGTTCAAGACCAGCCTGGGCAACATAGTGAGACCCTGTCTCTACAAAATACATACATAAACAGATAAAATAACAAAATTTTAGTCAAAGCTAAGCCCATATCTAAAGTTGGATATACATACCAAGAGTACCTGCAGGCCAATGATGATGCTGAATTTTGGAACCAAGAATGTATACCCCTAATTTGAGAGTAAAAAAGAACCCAGATTACAATACCTGTAGCCGCTGGGAAGAAAACCCCAAAGACAGTGAAAAAAGATTCCCCCGGGCTGTAATCGGGCAGCGTGTTGTTCTGTAGCAGTTCGGGTGAATATCCAATGAAACCATGTTCTGAAATAAAGCAATGGAGAGCAACGTAAGCCCAGTGAGAAGACACAGGACACATTTCCCTAGATTATGGTACTATTTCATATATCGCTTTAAATATTGGAAAGGTAGGGGCATGTATGTGACACACAGCGACAGAGCGGGTCTGCAGAACCATCTACCTTCCCACTTCTAGGGTTGACTTTTGTGTGCTGATCCCATAGACACAGATGGATGACATAACATGAAAGGAAGCAGTGGTTACTTCTGGGAAGGGGAGCATTTTCATCTTTTGCTTCATAGACTTTAATATAGCTGAAATATCTTTCAATGAGCATGTATTTATATGTTTGTTTTCCATTTAAAAAATTAATCGATATTTGCAAGTTACTTCCGTACTCGAAAACCTTCCACGGGTCCCTAATAGCTACAGAATCAAGTCCAAACTCCTATCAAAGCCTCCACAACCTGGCAACAGCCACCGCTCCCTACTCATCCCTTGCTTTTTCTCCTCCCCAGCAGCCACACCCTGAGGAAGGCCACCCACACCCACCCCCCTGCCTTCGTTAGGCAGTCTCCTGGCCTTCCAGACTCTTCTCCCACATCTCTAAGCATCGTAGTGGGCCAACTCTTCAAGCTCAGCCCAAATGGTGCTCCTTTGGGCTTTATAAGCACTCCCTAATCAGAATCTATTCCTCCCCCCTCACTGCTGTTGACGCTAGGTCTGGCCACAGTAGGACTTTCCCCAACTAAACTCCTTGAGGCATGAAATCCAGGTCTGCAGATCTCTATCCCCCAGAGCCAAGCACTGCACTGGTGCACAGTAGGTAGGTTGCAAATATGGGTCACGCTGAAAAGAACCTTTCTCTTAGATCTCTCAGCCTATGGACACATCTCGCTTCCACACTTTCAATTTGACTTGTTCACAGCCTACTTCATAGCAGGAACATCTCAGATCTCATTTCCTCAAAGCATTTTAAACATTTTTGTACATCGACTTTAACAAACTTTTTTCAAGTGGTTTCAACCCTGCAGGCACGTTGCTTCTTTGTCAAAGGAGGTCACTTTGAACAGCATCTGTGAACATGCTAGTGGGCTGTGGAATTTTAAGACACAAGTCAAGTGTTGTTGGTTTCAGGAACACCCAGGATATTCAGCCTCTGCTTCTGAATCTTGTCTCTGAGAAGGAGTTGGTTTGTTCCTATTAACTGTCGTCCAAGAGAAGCCAATCCCTGCTCCTTTTCCCTCAACCCCTGTAGTCCCGTAGGATGGGTATTCAGCTGTCACTCCATAGCCAACCCTAGGGTTTCAGGGACAGAATTTCCCCAAGCCTCATCCTCCACCCGCTCGGAGCTTAATTACAGCCCAAGCTTCCATCCACAAAAGAAGGCTCCTGCCACTCTGATGAGTCCAATGAGGTCGCCCGCACTTCACACAGCTTCCAAGATTCATAACTTCATAAGAAAAATATTTTTTTTAAAAAATAATGAAACGAAATCTCAGGGAAGCACAAGGGACCCTTGGGAGTCCAGTCAGGACTTAAATCATTGTCAATTGCTTTATTTTGCCTGAACACAGAATTTGTTCTGGCATATTCAATCCCAAGTGCTGTACAACTTTTCTGAATGGTTTGGCGTTTTTGTAGCTGGCCCTCCCCTCATTAACAAAAAAGCAATAATAGCTAAGTTAACTTTAGCTTATCCGCTGGCTGACCTCACTGATGAGTCTTAAGGAGGAGAAAACCAGCCCAGCCTGCCTTGGAACCGAGCTCAGCCAAGCTGGACTAATGTGCAGGTCGGAAAGCACATCTGAGCGGAGGGCTGTGTGTGCCCGGCAGGCCCGCCTCGCAGGACAGAAAACACTTCATCAGGCATATTCATCTCCAAGGGCCCAAGGGCGGCCCTGACACAGGGGAATATTTGGTCACTGGGCCTGAAGGGCTTTGCCCTGGCCAGCCTGAAGGTTCAGAGGGATTTCAGGCCCAATAGATGAGTCACTGGGAAGCCTTTTCTCTGCCCATCCCTTCAGCAAGACCCACAGGCTGAGATAATGAGTCACTTGGCTCCCTCGTGGGCCTGCCTCAGTTGCCATCTCTTGCAGGGCCAATGAGAAATGCAGCCCTGCCACATTCACAAAGTGCACACTCACGCTGACACACGCTCACGCTCACACGCTCACGCTCACACTCACGCTCACACTCACACGCTCACACTCACACTACTGCTGGCCCAGCCTGCTCTGGGCTGAAGCCAAGCTCAGTTCTGAATCTTGCTCTAGGAAATAGTCTTAACTTTGCAAAGAACGCTATGGACAAAAATATGTGTCAATGCTTTGTTTACAATAATGTAAAATCGGGGGAGGGGTCGGGTGCAGTGGCTCACGCCTGTAATCCCAGCACTTTGGGAGGCCGAGGCAGGTGGATCACTTGAGATTAGGAGTTTGAAACCAGCCTGGCCAAAAGGTGAAACCCCATCTCTACTAAAAATACAAAAATTAGCCGGCCGTGATGGGGTGTGCCTGTAGTCCCCGCTACTCTGGAGGCTGAGGCGAGAGGATTGCTTGAACCCAGGAGGCAGAGGTTGCAGTGAGCCAAGATTGCACCACTGCAGTCCAGCCTGGGCAACAGAGCAAGACTCCATCTCAATTTTTTAAAATTTAAAAATAAATAAAAAATGAAAAAATCAGAGGAGGTTCTAAATGTTTATGTGGAACTGAGACATTTTAAATGCTTATAAAGAGTTTTTAGTATAAGAGAAAACTGTCCATGTTATATATACTATATGCTAATTCAGAAAACTGGATGCCATAGTATAAATACAAAAAAAGGTGTATTAATCTATACATGTAAGAAACAGCTAGAAGAAAACACACCGAAATACTAACTGTGGTTGTTTGTATAATGCAATTACAGGCAATTCTTGTACTTTCTTTTTTTATTTCTACAAAACATCCACATTTAAGTTAAAGGGCTGAGTGCAGTGGCTCATGTCTGCAATCCCAGCACTTTGGGAGGCTGAGGTGGGAGGATTGCTTGAGCCCAGGTGTTTTAGACCAGCCTGGGCAACACAGAAAGACCCCTTCTACAAAACACACACACACACACACACACACACACACACACACACACACACTTAGCAGGGCATGGTACTAGCTACTCAAGAGGCTGGGGTGGAAGAATCACTTGAGCCCAGAAGGTCAAGGCTGCAGTCAGCTGTGACTATGCTACTGCACTCCAGTTTGGGTGACAAAATAATTTTTTTAAATGAACATAATCTACTTGTCATCAAAAAATATCTTTTAGGAAAACAAACAAAACATCCCACAATTGAAAGCCCACTTTCTCGTCAGCTTTTCTATGTATGAAGAGCTTTTCTTTCTTTCCGTTTGTACTCTGTTTCCCAAAATGACTTGAGTGGCTTATGAGAAAAACATAAACAAGACAGGAAAAATAAAATAAGGACCAAAGAAAGAAAGAAACTGAGCAAAAGAGAGAGAGGGTGAGAACACCCCCAGTCGTACCTCCATGACCCACAGTCTGAGGCCTTATTCAGAGAGAATTTTCTAACTCTTTGACCAAGCGCACTGAGGCAGGGCATTGGATCTGGTGGCCCATCCCTCACATGGGCCACTTTCCAGTGGACAACAAGGAGCCCCCAAAGCTGGCACAGTGGACCCTGCCTCATTTCCTCTGCCCCTATTTTCCCAGGCCCTCATGACTTGCACCCCTCACCTATCACCACCCCACCTCACGGTCCCCTGTCCTGAGCCAGTCCCCAAAGAGTCTTGCTCACTGGTCCCCATCCTGCCTGCTGGGGCCTGGGTCTCTTTCCCACACCCTGAACCTGGTGGCCCACCCAGACCTCAGGCATGGTTGACTCTCTGTTGGGCTTATGCAGAGTGGGTGCCCAGGGGAGGCACTCATGTCTCTGACTGGCCGGTACTGGCTAGCTAAGCATGGTGTGAGGTCAGTGGGTCACACCCAGGGTAGGGCTGAGGTCCATGCCGCCTGCCATGCCCTCCGACAGTGGCTCTTAATGCCTGACTTGCTGATGCCCAGAACAAAGGTTCCTAATTCTTTTAGTTGCCCCCATTTGAGAGTCTGATGAATACCATGGTCCCTGTCCCCATAGACACCACATTTTGCATACCATTTTGGGGAAGGGCAGATTTCTGAAGCCTCTCTGGAGAGCATGGACCTTAAGGTTCGAGACCTCTACTCTAGCAGCTACATCTGCACGTGAGATTGTCCCGCCAGGAGGCACCTACAACTTCCCAAGGCCTGACTGCCACCATGCCCTGCCTCAGAGTGGACAGCAGCCCTGAGAGTGACATAGCCAATAATGTCTTCATGCCACAGTCCTTGCCAAGCAATGGCCAAGACTGTGTGCACAGAGATTGTGCAGGTCACTCCAAGGACACCACAGGGCAACCTCACTTCTGAAAATAATGCTGAGCGACCAGTGACTGAACCCTTCCTACGTGCCAGCCACTGAACAACAAGACCTTACAATGTCATACTTGTACGATGACTAACTGAGGACACTGAGGCTCCGGAACGTGAAAAAGCTTGTCCGAGGGTTACATAGCCAGATCTGCCTGTATTTCACCCACTGCCTCTCCCGGTGGCAGAAGCCAGGCCTCTCTCCAGGAGGTGGGTTCCCAGGCCCTGGCACTGCACCCCCTTACAGCACAGGTTGCCTTTCAGCCCCAGGAAACATGCCCACAGAGATCATGGCATCTCCCCCGGCCCCATTTGTGTAGGGCAGACAGGAGTCCTATCCTGTGGAACACCATGTGCCTACCGGTATGCAACTGGCTGGAGCTTACACAGCTGGGAGGACACAGCCTGTCCTGGACCCCACATCTGAGTGAATTCAGGCCTCCATCTACCACACTGACCCTCTGTAATCCATCCCAAAGTCATTCCCCAGGAATTTCCTTTTTTTTTTTCTTTTCTTTCTTTCCTTTTTTTTCTTAAAGAGGCAGGGTCTCGCTCTATCACCGAGGCTGGAGTGCAGTGGCACTATCGTAGCTCACTGCAACCTCAAACTCCCAGCCTCGAGCAACCCTCCCACCTTGGCCTCCCAAAGCACTGGGATTACAGGCGTGAGCCACCACGTCTAGCCTCCCCAGGGATTTCCAACACTTGTTTTTTGACCTCAGAAGAGTCTCTTTGCCTCTCTGTTGGGCTTTCAATTCCTCTGCTGGTGAAACTGAGTCTTGTGGTCTGGGGTCCTGTCATCTGACATCTTTCAACTCTCGAAGGCCTGGGATGCATGGGGCCTGCAGCTGCTGCGTGTGAATGGATCTGGGTTTGACCTGAACATCTGTTTCTCTATCCACGGAATAAAAATACTTTGGTCCAGTTTGAGCTGTATGCTTTTAGGAAGAACAAAAACAAAAAGGGGGGTGGGGTGGGGTGCGGGTAAGACAGAGAACAAATGACAACAAGACCCAGGCAGGAACAGGCAGAGGGAAAGTCCTTGAAGCTCTGTCTGCAGAAAGGCTTGATCTTTCCACCCGGAATTCGGGTAATTCAGGCTTCTTGTGATGCGGCCAGTGGGCTGTGGCTCTTCAGGGCCCACCATCTGCTCCCAAGGGGTGCTCGTGGGAGCCTACCCTCCTCCCCTTAGCCAAAGGCAGGCAGCGGGGGTCACTAGTGGGACTGAGAACTGCTCCAGCAGGGCTGCTTGGGGTGCCCAGCAGCCGGGCATGGGACCCTTGCCCTGGGTAGGCGGCTGCTAGGGGCTCTGGGTGGCACCTGCGGTGCCCCCGACATCCCCTCCCCCTACGCCGCTGGGGGCTGCTGAAATTAGAAGAGGGAGTCGGGAAGTCATACCCCTCCCTGTGGGCGTCGGGTTGCACTGTTGACTAACTTAGAAAGCGAGATTTCTAAAAATGATGCTGGGGCTGCAGGCTGCGGGCTGCGGGCTGCGGGCTGCGGGCTGCTGCCGCGGCGGGGGCTTCCGGCGGCGCTCTCTTCTGGGTCCCCCACCCCTGGACCAGCGACCGACGACCAGCCAGACAGCCCTTTCCTGCGAATGGACAATGGGAGAGGCTGGCGCAACCGAGAATAGCCAGCGCGGAGGAAGGGCTCCGGACGGAGCTAGGAGGGTGGGGCTCGGAGGGCGCAGGAAGAGCGGCTCTGCGAGGAAAGGGAAAGGAGAGGCCGCTTCTGGGAAGGGACCCGCACGACGACGCCCGAAGGGCGTCGGGGGAAGTGGTAGGCCCCGGAGACTGCGCGAGGCTCCTCAGCAAAGGAAGTGGGCGCGGCGCGCACGCAAGACCTCGCACCCGGCCTCGCGCGCCGCCTCTGGACAGCCCAGCGCCTCTCAGCACCTGTACCTCGCCAGACGCGGCCTCACGGAGACGGGGATCTGCAGCCAATCCGAAACTGCCTGACCCAGGGGGTCCGCGGAAAGGGGAGGAAGGGGAGTGTCCACGGGCCCCATCCTGCCACTTGTCACCCACAAGAGTTCCTTCCCAAGCAGCCCCATCCTCGCCCGGACACTCACTCAGATACTGCCCAGCCCCAGATGGGCTAAGAGGCACAGAGATGGGCAATTAAACACAGCAGGCCTGGCCTCCCTGGGCTGGGGATGGGGTTTTTCTTCTGGGAGCTGCAAAGGGTGAAGCAGTTACAGGTTATCAGGGAGGAGCCCAGTCAAAACTGAACTCAAGGAGGATAGATTTGGGAGAAGTCCCTGCCATGCTTATCCTCCCTCGGCGTGAAGCACAGGGCCCCCTTCCAGGCACAAGGACCCTGAAGATCTCTGGGTGGAGGAAGGCAAGAACAGTGGCAAAATCAGGAATCAGGAACCAGGGTTCGGGCCCTGGTTATGCGAGGACTCACTGTGGGACTGTAAACAAGCCCTTTTCCCTCGGAGCTTTGAAACGCAAATTTTGAGTCAGCGAGACCGGCATGGGCCAGAGACCCAGCCTTCCTAATGAGCTCCCCGGAGATGCCACGCTCCTGCCTGCAGATCGAACTCTCAGTAGCACAGTACGAGATGATTTTTCAGAACCCTTCTAATTCTGAAGTCTTCCCAGCCAGAAGCCCACTCTCAGGCCTCTCAGGACACACTGTCCAAATACACAGTTGGTTTCCAATGGCAGAGGTAAAATCCCAAACCAGCTTCCATAACATGCCCTCCTCCCTTCCCTGACTCTGTGATTGTTGATACAGGATGTGCTCCAGAACCGTGAAACAAGCTCACTACCACAGTTCCATATGTTAATAAAACCTTACTGGCCGATAATGAGAGATTACATGGAAGGGCAGAGAGATGAGGAAACCTTCATGGTCTAATTCATTGGCCTGTTTTAACAACTGAGGAAACTGAAGTGCAGAGCTGAAGCCAACTGTTCAAAAGACACGCAGAGTCAAAAGGGGAACAGTAACCCTAATTGAGAGTACAGTTTGGAGTCCAGATAGTATCAAGTCCCAATCTGTTGGGCTCTCCCATTGAACTGGGTCATAACAATCCTGGTACAACTATTGGTGTTCAATAAAAGTGTTTTGAAATAGAACTGAATCGGCTGTATTGCGTTGGACTGTTTTGAAATTAAACTGAATCGGGCTGTATTGCTTTGTATTGATCACTGCCTGGAGATTTGGAAGAGGAAATAATGATAGGTTTCGAAGAGGCCCCCAAAGAGTCCTGGGCGTGAGCCTGGAGTCTTCCTCGGACCACAGTCTCCTCTCTGGCTTCAGCCCTATTGACTTTGGTCCTGCAAAGAGAGGGTGGAGAGAGGATGTGCACAGGGTTTCCAGCCTAAGACCCCACCCAGAGAGAAAATACACAGAGGGAGGGCTGGGCATTCCAACAGTGGCCAGAAGGGAAATCTGAAGTGGGGCTTGACCTGCCCAGAGGGCCAGGGGAGTCCCGCCCAGCCTGCCTAGAAAGGAGCAGCCTAGAGCCCTGCCTGGCCATGGGGAGAGCCTCCACCCTGTGGGAGGACTGGCTGTTGTGAAACAGTGGGAAGGACCCCCAGGGCTGGGCAACCCAGGGGATGAAAGGCCAGACTGGGGGATGTCAGGGCAGCCTCCCTGGCCTGGGAGGGAAGGGGCTGAAAGTGTCCCATAACAAGAGCAGCTCCTGCCATGCCCTGCGGTCTAGGAGGGCAGTCCCGGGGCTCTTTCTGAGCTAAGGATTCCTCATTTGTGAAAGGAAAGATAAGCCTTTTCTTCATGAAGAATGGTTTCTAATAACCAAGAAATTGTTCCATCTGCTAACACGGGCTCTATTTTAAATGCTTAATGAACCTTTTCTCATAATGGCCTTGGGGTCAGTAAGCTGAGATGAGATTTTTGCCTAGAGAGGCCTACAGCGGAAAGAGCTGTCAAATGCCCAAGAATGTGAAAAGAATCTGACTTGAGGAGACACTAGGTTCTCACCTGGGCCCCAGGAAACAAGAGGCATCTTGGGGTGAGAACAGTGCTGTCTACTTCCGCTGCATACCACTCATTCCAAGTGCTTTACCGTATTAACTCATTGAAGCCTCACAACTACCCTATGAGGTAGATGGATTTTTTTCAGGGAAGGAAACTGAGGCACAGAGAGGCAACTGGGATTCAAACGTTGTGCTGCCACTGCTGCAGCAGTGCTTGTCCAAGGCTGCAGGGAGTCTTGGATGAGTGCCAGGAGCTCCAGCTGCTCCAGCTGGGACCCTGCAGAGGGGTCCAGAGGGACCTGGCCCCAGCCCAGCCCACAGAGCCCCCACTAGCCTACCCTAGAAAGGAGCCCTGAGAAAGGAAAATCTGGCCTCCTTATCTCCTGGGGGAAAGGAATGCACTCTCCCTCCTGCCAGGATAACGGGCTGTTTTAACGGGAAGTCTCCACCCTGGCTGTGGGTTCCTCCCAGCCACCACTTATTCCTTCTGGCTGTCTCTGCCTCTGGCATCCCACTTCCCATGCTTCAACTCCTGACCCCTGACACCCCCAAAATAATCCTAACTCAACTCATGGCCCCCTCAAATCAGCTGCCCCTGCACAGCTCCAAGCTGGTCAAGAAGTCTTCCCTGCCCCACTGTTGCTTGGATATCCTCGCCAGGCAGGCAGCTGAGACGGGGTGGGAGGTCAAGTGACCCCTGCAGGGAAGGGGCAGTCAGTATCAACACACCGATATGTAAGCAGAGCCCCCCTCCTGCCAAGCACCAGGCTGAAAATATTCACATGCTCAGACCCCTTCCCCACCAAGTTCTGAGGCCATGGGCAGCTCTCCCCCACCCCAAGTCCTACCCAAGAAACAAAGCAGGGCCTCCCTCAGAATGCCATGGCTAAAGATTCAGTATCATAGAACTGTAGAAAGTTAGCATCACAGCAGTCTTTAGCCTCAAATCCATTTTACAGATGGGAAAGCTGAGGCCTGAGAAAGGAGATGCCCACGTCACAAAGTTAGCAGCTGCTCAGGGGAGACCAGAACACAGTGTGGCCAAGCCCTTGTCCAATATGTCCTATGGGTCCCCATCTCTCTGCTGTTACTGGCTGGCTACTTGCCTGTTTTTTCCACTAGACTATGAGCCAGGTGGGGGCAGGCACCACGCTCTCTTATTTTCTGGGGTGTCTCTGGCACCTAGCCCCAGGGGACATGCAAAAAATATAAAACATTAATAATAACAAACAATGGAAACAACCCAAATGTCCATCCACAGATGAATGGATAAACAAAATGTGGTATATCGATACAATGGAATGTTATTCCACCATAAAAAGGAATGAATTTCTGATACATGCTACAACACAGATGAACTTTGAAGACCTCATGCTAAGTGAAAGAAGCCAGATGCAAAAGGACAAATGTTGTATAATTCCCCTTACAGTAGCTCCCCTTTATCCACAGGGCATCCTTTCCAAAACCCTCAGTGGAGGCCTGAAATGGCAGATAATACCAAACCCTATATATACTATGTTTTTTCCTATATATACATACCTGTGATCAAGTTTAACTTATAAATTAGGCTCAGTAAGAGACTAGCAACAATGACATAATAAAATACAATTATATTATAATAAAAGTTTTATGAATGTGGTCTCTCTCCCTCATCTCAAAATATCTTTTTTATTCTTTTCTTTCTTTCTTTTTTGAGACTGGGTCTTGCTCTGTCACCCCATCTGGAGTGCAGTGGCACGATCACGGCTCACTGCAGCCTCCACCTCCCACGGCTCAAGTGATCCTCCCACTTCAGCCTCCTGACTAGCTGAGACAACAGGCTGGCGCCACCATGCTCAGCTAATTTTTTATATTTTTTGTAGAGACAGGGTCTCACTTTGTTGCCCAGGCTGGTCTCAAGCCCCTGAGCAGAAGCAATTCTCCCACCTCAGCCTCCCAAAGTGCTGAGATTATAGGCATGAGCCACTGCGCCTGGCCCAAAATACCTTATTGTACTATACTATTTTTATCTATTTTTGGACCACTGTTGACCGTGGATAGCTGCAACTGCAGAAAACAAAACTGTAGATAAGGGGAACTACTGCCTATGAAATATCTAGAATAGGCAAATTCAGAGAGGCAGAAAGTATCATAGAACAGAAGTTAGTGGGGGCGGAGTTTCTGTTTGGGGTGATGACAAAGTTTTGGACGCAAATGGTTAGGATAATTGCACAACAGTGTGAATGTAACTAATGCCACCGAATTGTACAGTTAAAAACGGTTAAAATGGCAAAGTGTGTGCTATGGATATTTTACCACAATAAAAAACAAAACAAAACAAACAAACAAACAATCAAACAAAACCTCAAGCCATTTCTTTCCACAGCACCCTCCCCAGGGATCCTCAGAGATGGCACCCTGCATCCTTGCTTAAGGCCTGGGCTCCTCCCTGCCGTACAGATGTGGGAATAGAGGACAAAGGGGGCTTCCTGGCCAAGGATGGTGGAAGGTGAGGACAGAGCCACAGGCCCTGCCTACTAGTTGTGGCCTCCCTCGGAGTGCAGCGGCATGATCACGGCTCACTGCAGCCTCCACCTCCCATGGCTCAAGTGATCCTCCCACTTCAGCCTCCCGACTAGCTGGGACTACAGGCTGACGCCACCATGCCCAGCTAAGTTTGTACATTTTTTGTAGAGACAAGGTCTCTGTTTGTTGCCACAGGGAACACCTCTTCCCACCACAGGGAGGCCCTTCCTCCACGAGAAGCAGGGCGGGGAAGCTGCCCAGCAAGCCATCTGACCACCAGTCACCAATGTAGGCAGAAATCACTGTGTGCTCAGGGGTTTAGGTGGAAAGGACCGTTGTGCTCGGGAGTTTGCCGACGTCTGGAATCCTTGGGGTTTTACTCAAGGGCAAGGTGTGTGAGAATTTGCAGCAAAGCCGTCAAGAAACACAAAGTGCAGCGTCTCAATATCAAGCACGCCCAACTTCCAGGGAAGACTTCCGCAAAATCAAGGGCGCTGTTGTCCTAGTCCTAGGGTCAACACATGTTCTCATTTTCAAAACTTTCCTGGTCACTGGGACCCAAGGCCTGGGAGCAGCATTTAACCTGCGGTGCCACTAAATGAGAGCCGGCCTTGAGTGAGTGTGCCTTTAACCCGGGCTGCCCTGGGCTACTGCCATATCACCTGACCTTGCAGCTTCAGGCTGCACTCCGCTTCCCTTTGTGGGGCTGGCAGGGGCACTCTGCTCTCAGCCTTCTAGCTCTGAGAGGAGAAAACCAGAAGTGGCCCCTTCCTGTGCCTCTGTGTGTTCCTTTGCAAGCCGTTGTGTGCCTTTTCTGCAGGCGCTTATGGAGAGTGAGGTGTGTTTGTACCATCTCCCCGTCAGATTAGGAATCCTCAAGGTCAGAGACAAGTTCCCTCCTCCCTCCGGATCCCCTCCTCATCCGCAGGTGGCTGCAGTCACTGGGGTGCTGGATGAGTCCAGTGACCATACATCCTGCCCTACATCCTGCCTGGACAGCCTGGGAAGTGTTTTGATGACTGATCAACCCAGAGAGCACGAGGGGAGAGCAAGAGGAGGAGAAAGGATGCTGCTGCTCCTGACTGAACGTGATTGAGGTGCCCCAGGAAACTACCTTGCTATGCAAAGTATGGTCCCCAACCTGCGGCATTGGAACCTTCATTTTAACAAGATCCCCAGATCCTGAAGCACTGCCTTAGAGTATAACCCAGGGCCTCCAGGGACCTACTCTTCCAGGACAAGCAATGATAATGACAATGATTATTTATTGAGCACCTACTTTGTGCCAGGCATGACACTAGGCCTCTTATAAACATTATCTTATTTTATGCTTTGGCAACCTAGCGAGGCAGGCGTTATTACCTGCTTTTCAGAAACAAAGAGAGCAGGTCAGAGAGGTTAACTACCTTGACCAATTCTATGCAGCAAATTATAGCTGAGCTGGAGCTTGAACCTGGAGGTCTGACTCCAAAGCCATGTCTCTGACAACTGTAGTATATGTGATGCAATCTTTCACATTAGGCCAACAAGGACAGCCACTTGCCAACTCGCTATGGGGCCCAGAGATTTAAAGGCAAATGCAATCCCCAGGGAGATGTCTAGAGGCTGCCCCATTGCCTAGTGCTGGCCTGGGGTGTGGGCACCTATGTGTTGGGGTTAGGTCAACCCTGTGGCAGAGGCCTCAATATTTCTTCAAAACACGTCCCTGAAGATGAAGGTGCATGCCTCAGTCCCCAGGGAGCATGAAGATCCAGGCAAGAGGGACATGTAAGTTGGATTGCGAGCAGGCCTGGAAGCTCTAGCACTGGCCTTGTCTGGGCCCTGGAGTGAGGGTAGTGGGGAGAAGAGTGGGGTGGGGGGCCCACGTGGGTCCTTTGTATATTATTTAACTTTCAAATTTGCAATTTGGGGCATCATCTCCTGCCAGCCTCAGGAGGCGGCACTCTCCTGCCAGCTCCACCTCTGGGTTCACTCCCACCCCCAACCCTCGGCCAGCACTCACAGGCTGCTCGCACCACAGAGCCCACTCTCTGCATGCCCACTGTCAGCCCAGGACTTCCTGCCTTGTTCTCTGGGTCTGTAGCTGGCTGCCTTGCTCCCCACCCAAATGTGAGTGACTTGAGGGCACATATCCCACTTTGTGCTTTATACAGACCCACCATCCTGCCTCCTACCCCAGGAGGTACCCCCAAAATGGTGAAGCCAGAAGTGCCTTCAGGGACGCTTCTACAGTCACATGGAGAGTAATCTGCAAATTCCCCACAGCCAGGGGACACCTGCCACGTGCAGTGAGAGGAACACAAACCAGCAGCGGGGGGGCACAGGCAGGATGTGTCGGCCCACCCCTCAGCGGTCACCCATCGCTTCCTCGGAACTCCCAGCTGCTCAGGGCTGAGGCGGGCGAGGCTCAGAAGTGTGGAAGGGCCCTCCCCAGCTGGTGACTGCATGTGGCAGGCATCCATACCCGGAACGCCCAGCCAGGGAGTCGGGCCAGCCCATCCCTCCTGCTCACAGAGTCACAGAGTGGGAGCAGACTCGGGGGTCGAAGCTGGGCAGCGCTCGCTCGCACTTCCTTCTGCAAACTTGACCAGGTCCCACGGCCTCTTCAGCCCATGGCTCCTTTCTCTGATCCCCAAGCCAAAGCCAGCAAATGAGAATAATCCAGTAGAGACAGCTGGGTTTTGGGATCAGGGTAGGGGCTCAGAGCCAGGGGTCTGGGATTCTGGTCAGTCAGTTTTTCTTCATCAGAATCAATCTCAGAACAAGAGGGAGGCCTAAGGCATGCCTGCTGCTGGCCAGGGGTGATGGGGACCACTGCCCACAGAAAGCCTTCTAACAAGGGCTGGATCCAAACAATCAAGGAACAAGGATGCCTAAAGCATTAGTTTCTCATCTAGCCAGAGAAATATTAAATGTGCAACTCACATAATTTTACAAACAAGAACCACCAACATAAAATAAGTGGAATATTGAAAATATTCAACAGGTAGAACAAGTCAAAGAACATGCTTTGCTTCCTATTCAGGCCAGGAAGGGAGAGAAAGAGAAGAAATGGAAGGTGAGGAGGGATGGGGAGATGGCAAAGTGGGGGCAGAGGGGAAAAAGAGAGACAAAAGGATTGGGGAGAAAAAACAGAGAGAGAAAAGCATAAAGGAAGAAAGGATGAGGCACAAAGAAAAGAGGAGGGAGAGCAGGTGGATTTTGGGGAATGCTGGACAATTGGTCAGGCTTGGTCTGCAGAGGCTCAGAAATCCTTACCTGGACATGAGCCTTTGTTTATAATTCTTCACTGTTCTAACCCTGAAAAGTACCTCTGTTCTAATCCTTAATCTTTCCCCCTTCAGGTCAAGAATGCCTTTGAGAATCTGGCAGTAGTTCTGAACCCTGTCCTAGAAAAATACACTTATTTACATACAATTTTGCATGCAACTTCAGGGGCTCAAGGACTCTATGTTAAAAATACTTATTCTAGAAGCTCCACTCTGATTGGGAGACCCATAATGGCCAAAGCAAAAACACCTCAATTGCCAGATGAAACTAAAATGAGGGTGGGATGTGTTGTATTCAAGTCTTCACATTGAGCTTTAATCATACCATTGGCTTCAGTGACAGAATTTAGGGCCTAAGCACCTTCTCCTGGTTACTACCCCAACAGTCATATTGGAAGCAAGGCTGGTTACTCCAAGGGGTCCATTGTGTACATGGATGGTTATTTCGCAGTAAGGGGCCTGTCAAAGACAGGTAACAATGTGTGAGTCAAATTAACCCTTTACAGATCAATAGGATTAGTAAATCCCATATACGTAGTAGTTTCCAAATCTGAATGTACATAAGAATTTCCAGTATGCTTACCTAAAATGTAGATTACTAGTCCAAAATTTGAGAGTATGGATCAGACTGTTTTTCTAATGAGTTTCTAGATAATTCCGATACAGGAAATCTCCAAACCAAACGCTGAGACACACTGTTCTCAGAGAACATTGCAAGCCTGAGAGGCTGAGCTTCTGGTCCCACAGGTCAGCTGATTATCTACTCCTTGCAGTGCGATTCTTGTACACTAGGGGGTAGGACTGAGCACATATACAAGGGCACCGCAAGACGAGGTTTGGACTACTGCATCAAAAAGGCTACCTTTACAGGGGAAAATAGAATGAGCAATGCAGAACATGAAAGGTAGAGTGCCAGGAGAAACCTTCCAAGGGCCTCGAAGACAGTAGTTCCCAGAGCTGACTTAAAAATCATGATAAAAAACTACCTGGAGCACTTCTTACAATCCAGATTCCCGGGCCTCAGGCTATTAGGAAACGCGCTCACACACACACACCAAGTTTCCTCAGGGATTCTGATACACACGCAAGTATCACAACTTGTTTGTTTATGGCACTTCAAGCCCAAGGGTATTTTGATCACTATACCAGACCATTATCATAAAGACGCTTCGAAAAACTAAAGTGCCCTTATAATTCTAAAGCAAAAAACAGTGAACATTACCAGGGTTTTCTTCTTCTTTTCTCTTCCTCTTCCTCCCCCTCTTTCTTTTTCATTGAGGAGGCTAATTGGAGAAGGTGGGCCACGCTGGAATGCCCTGAATGGGTTCCAGATGGTGAAGTCATTGGCCTCTTGGCCCAACTGTTCCTCCCTTTTCCCTGGAGTGCTGTACAAATATTATCATTTTCTGGCTGTGCAGTGACATAAAAATGGTTGAGAGGCTCTAGGTCAGGTGTAAAAGAAACTCATGGAAAGGGAAGAACAGCTCGGTCCAAAAGAAATTGTGGAGATACTTTCCGATTCTCTGCAAGGTGGAGAATCCCAAATCAGATGCCAAGCTCAGCGTGGATTGGTTTGGGCTCATCATGTTGTCCAGTCCCCACTGGCTTTGGCATCTGATCTGGGATTGTGAGGGGGTGCGGTAGGTCTCAAGAGAAATGCTGAAGGGGCAGCCCTGCTTCCGGCTGCTTAGCAGAGTGGTGGCGACAGGGAAACCCAGGCACAGATTGCAGATCCTCCGCCCAGGGAGGATGACCACGATAACAAGACTGTCTTACGTTTATTTAGAATCTTCCTTTGCCAAGGCAATCGTATTTATAGTAGTTGCTCATTTTGAGTATAACTTTTTAAAAACATTTTGATTTTCTGAAATTTGGATGTCTTACAAGCAACATGAGGACTTAATGTAAGGCTTTTTTCCACCTGAAAATTTGGTGTGAATTAAAATTGATGGTGACTTGGAATTGAGGAAATACGTTTTATTACATCATTTAATCTCTAAATAATCTGTGAGGCAGATATTATTATTCTCTATTTTCTAGAGGAGGAAACTGACGCTTAGGTGATTTCCCCAAGGTCAAGGATTGAGAAAGTGGCAGAGCCAGGACTAAAATCCAGGTTCCAGTATTTCTTCCCTGATAATGTCTGAGCAGATTTGTTCATACACTAGGAATTTGGGATTGCAGAGTAATTGCTCCAGAACTGCTCCAAAAACTGGCTGCCACCCACAGTTACTGGGGCAGAGAAAGCAAGAAGTGACTTTCCTTTTGCTTCAAGTAGAAATTTGAGGGAAAAGAAATAGAAATGTATATAGGTTTGTATGGTGGCTGTTTGTTTGCTTTAGGCCATAACAGAAGTCCCTTGATTACTTCAGGAGCTTCAGAATGTACCATGCTCATTCCTCATACCACGATCACCTCTGGTACGTGTGAGTTTAAAATGGTGCTCATTCGGTCATTACAGATTTACTGTTTGAATTTGTTATTTTATTTACTTTAGAATGCTTTTCATTTTTAGCAATCAGGATTCTAGAGTGTCATATCTTTAAAAGTCTAGCATTTTTATTTCTGCCAGTTCAAGAGGATGCAGGAAGAAGTTTAACAGAAGAAACCGTCTTCAAAATAATAAAACCCCAAAATTATTCTCTACAATATCCAGTAAGTGCTGATTTTCTAGAAAACAGTTGGCAGGGGGAGAGAGAGAAGGAACCACCCCTCCCCCCAAACTCAAAGAAAAAATAACTACTTTGGACATATTATTTCTAATCCTTTAAAAAACACTCTTCCAGGAGGGTATTTCTTTCCATTAGACAGATGGACAAACTCAAAGGGTTTCGGTGACTTGCCCACAGCCACACGGCTAACAAGAAGCATGTGTTCTGATAGCATTAATCAGAAAAGCATATATTGCTGACATGGATTCCCTGTTTCATGAGGGCAGGGACCATCGCTATCCTATTCTCCGCTGTATCCCAAAGCCTACCTCCTGGCACCCCGTAGGCTTTGATGACTACCTATAGGGTGGGAGGATGGGAGGAAGAAAGAAAGGGAGGCGGAACAGGTGTGTGTGCAGCCAGGCGCTCCGTCCACCCTGCCACTCCTCTTCTTTGGAGACAGTGCTCTGACAATCTGTTCCATCAACTCCATTCTCCTGCAACTCTCATCACACTTTCACAAGCTGCGCAGATTACGTTTCCTAGGACTGTGTCCATCCATCTGCCTCACTGGATGCTGATCCACTCTGGTGTGTTTCCCAGTCAGTCACTCAGCAAAGTGCAACCGAGAGCCAACCATGTGCCCGGTACTTTCCAAGATGCCAGGATAAAACGGCAATAATATGGGATTCCTGTGCTTGAGGTTTTTACAGCCTGAAAAACAATGACCTCTGCATTTCCTACTCAGCACCGCGTGCCATCAACATCCAAGGTATGGGGATTTTCTGTAGCTGCCTATCAAACTCTCTCAGCTACCACCAGTGCTTCTTTCTGCTATATCTGATGCCTTGTTTTGTTACTTTCAGAAACACCAAAGGATGGCCGCAATTGAGGGACTCTTCTCAATAGCATGTTCTTGTGCTTCTTCATTTAGGACACATCTCCCATGCTGGGAAGTACAAGACAAATACGAGGAGTTGGGCAAGTGTCGCACTAAGTTCTGCCCCTGGCTGGGCAGCCCACTGACTTCTAAGAGATAATGAAATTTATGTATTTATTTATTTATTTATATATTTTTTGAGATGGAGTCTCACTGTCTCATCCAGGCTGGAGTGCAGTGGTGTGACCTTGGCTCACTGCAACCTCCACCTCCCAGGTTCAAGCGATTCTCCTGCCTCACCAGGAGAATCTTGTGATGCTGTAAGATGATAAAATGCCTATGTGACGAGACAATGTGGGGCGGATGACGCAGGCATCGTGACATAGCACTTGGCTATTATTGGCCTTGAGCTCTGGACTAGCTGGGGTTACAGGCGCGTGACACCACACCCAGCTAATTTTTGTATTTTTAGTAGAGACAGGGTTTTACCATGTTGGCCAGGCTGGTCTCGAACTCCTGACCTCAGGTGACCCACCCACCTTGGCCTCCCAAAGTGCTGGGACTGCAGGCATGAGTCACCATGCCCGGCCAGATGATGAATTTTAAAATCAAGTTTTATTATGGGGAAACTGAAGACCCACAGATATTGGGGTGCTGGCCTAGGGTCCCACAGACAGTGGTAGAGAGAATGCTGGCTTCAAGTCTCCCAGTGCAAAATACTTTAACTACCGTCCCCTTTCACTTCACTAGTCAGCAGCTTCGCAAACTGCATTTTCAATGCCATGCCCTACATGGGACTTATGTGTCCTGCTTGTTTTCTAATTCAGTCAGTGAAGAGCAGGCGGCCCCAGCAGCTGGAAACAATGTGAGCTTGATGGTTAAGGACATGGACCCTGAGGTCAGAAGCCAGGGCTCAAATTCTGGCTCCATTGCTTACCAGCTGGATAACTGCTGGGCAATCTAACCTCTCTGAACATCAGTTATCTCATCTTTATCATGGGGACAATAACACACAGGGACTCCATAGATAGGATATAGTGAGATGTATAATGCTTAGTATAGCACCTGGCACAAACAGAATGCTCAATAAACATTAGCTATTACAGTATCCCCCCTCCCTTATCCATTAGGGGTACATCCCATGACCCCCAGGGGATGCCTGAAACCAAGGATAGTACCTAACCCTATATACACCACGTTTTTTCCTATATATGCATACCTATGGTAAAGTTTAATTTATAAATTAGGCACAAGAAGATATCAACCACAATAATTAATAATAAAATAGAACAACTCTAACAATATACTATAATAAAAGTTATGTGAACGTCTCTCTCTCAAAATAGCTTACCATGCTGTATGCACCCTTCTTCTTGTGATGATGTAAGATGATAAAACGCCTACGTGACGAGAAGTGAGGCGGATGATGCAGGCATCGTGACATAGCACTTGGCTATTATTGGCCTCGAGCTCAAGCCCTCTGCTACTTGACAGTTGACCTGATAACCAAGCCAGGTACTAAGTGACTGATGGCAGGCGGTGTGTACGGTGTGGCCACACTGGACAAAGCAGGGTTCATGTCCCGGGTGAGACGGTGCAAGATTTCATCATGCTACTCAGAATGGCGGGCAATTTAAAACGTATGAACTGTTTGTTTCTGGTATTTTCCATTTAGTATTTTCGGACTGTGGTTGACTACGGGAAATGGAAACCATGGAAAGTGAAACCGTGGGTGGCGGGGTGGAAGCTACTGTGTTACTTCCCTTGCTCACCGCACCACCTTCAAATCTTAAATTCAAGAAATGTACAGCAATGTGAATTGACCCAGGACTTTTTTCTCATCTTAATAAATTATTCCACCTTACTTTCTTCTCTGCTTACAAGCAGAAATATACTCAGTGTTTCAAAAAGTATTAATTTCGGCGAGGCTGTTTGGTAAAGAATGTCTGATAAGGACACTGTGAGATTCTGATGCAGGAATTGATGTAGACATCTGACATAATTTTCTGATGGCTTATTAGAAATAAGTTTGAGCCGGGCGCGGTGGCTCACGCCTGTAATCCCAGCACTTTGGAAGGCTGAGGCGGGTGGATCACAAGGTCAGGAGATCGAGACCATCCTGGCTAACACGGTGAAACCCTGTCTCTACTAAAAATACAAAAAAGTAGCTGTAGTCCCAGCTACTCGGGAGGCTGAGACAGGAGGATGGCATGAACCTGGGAGGCGGAGCTTGCAGTGAGCCAAGATCACGCCACTGCACTCCAGCCTGGGTGACACAGCGAGACTCTGTCTCAAAAAAAAAAAAAAAAAAAGAAGGAAGTTTGAAAGGACTAAGAGCAGGGTAACAGTTGATGAACCACTTTTCTTAATCATTATTGCTTACTCTTGCCAAAAAAAAAAAAAAAACCCAACTTCGTAACTCCAATTATTTTTAATTTTTCAGAAAAGTGGCACATATTCTCAGAGAAGCAAGGGAAATTTCCCTTCACATCCCTAGACCGTATGCTCAGGGTGAAAGAGACTATTGTTTGGGTCACAGACTTGTGAGCCAGACGTGATTTTCACATGCAAATGGTGGCCACATACAGAGATAATCCAGGCCCCGGGCCAGGCAGAGACCCCAGCCGGCTGCCTCATCATGCTCTCACGGGGCATGTGGCTGAGCTGTAGTGCTGTGATGAGGGAGTGTGCCATCCAATGGGAGAGGCCATGTGTGGAAAAGGACTAAAAATACAAAGCACGCTAGAAACCGTGCAAATGAATTTAGTTCAGAGTGAGAAGGCATTTCGTCACTGAATCATGGATGGGGCTGGCCAAGGTTCACCAGAGGAAGTGAAGTGTTTGAGTTCATGTGCCAGACATGGTGCCGGCTGCTTCGTCTCCAGTATCTCAGGGCCAGGCCATCAGTGTGTGTGATCATGCATGGGTCTATGTGTGCACCCACTCATGTAGCCAGTGGCGCGAGAAAAGTAAATACTTATGGCAGGATCTTGGACCCTTTTAAATGTTTTCATCATTGTTTTGGATTATAAACTAACGAGACAAAAAATCAATCAAAGTTCTCATTGGTTAAAATAATTTTGTTTGTGTTTAACAAGTATGTGGATGTTCCCGATGGCGGTGGTGGACCAAAGATGGGATGAGAGGTGGGATGAGAAGGGCGGGAATGGAAACAATTAAGAGGCATGTACAAACAAATCAAGAAAATGAGATCACGAAACTGTCTCCCAAACTGCATCTGGTCTTCATCTCTACCCCACCTCGACTGCATCAGTCCAGGCTGTGTCTTCTCTAGACTGGACAATTGCAACCACGTTTGAAGGGCCCCAGCCTCAGTCCCTCCCCATTTGTGCCTACCCTAACTCCAGGCAGGGCTCCAAAGAGCAAATCTGATTCAACCCCTTCCCTGCTTCAAAGAAAAGCCTATTGACCTTTTGCTCAGCTTTTATGATTTCCGTATCTTTAAAACGCATGTTGAATTTTAAACTTATTTCTGGTTATTTTGTTTGTTTGTTTGCTTGCTTTTCTAACTAGAGAGACTAAGAAAATTCTCAAGATATGTCATCAAGCCTCTGTTTATAGTACATTCCATCTGGGACTTCTGAATGTTGCTACATTAGTTTTAACTTCAAAAATATTATATACTATGTGAGCTCAATTATGCTTTAAAACGAAAAAGGATGAAAAAAAGGCTATAAGGAAATAGCTTTTAGATATATTTTTAAATTAAATATGTATAGTTCTTAATAAAAATAAGTTAAAATTATAATTTAGTAGGTACTATCTACTCACATATATGAATACAAATATGCAAGGCAAGAATACTGGAAGGAAATACACTAATTATAAATACAGATGCTCCTTGACTTTCAGTGGGGCCATGTTCCGATAAACCTGTCATAAGTGAAAAATAACGGCTGTGATCTGAACAGAGACAAGCTACTGTTCTGCTTTTCACCAAGACCTGTGATACAAGCCAATCCTGGAAGCCCTAGAAGCTGAAAGTTCCCTGAGCTTCCCTCTGCCTCCTCGCTTTGAAGCACCATCACCTCAGGGAACTGGGAAGAACTCTCTCTTGAACCTGAAAAGGCTCTGTACCCTTCTGGCCCTCTGTCCCCAAACCCTGTCCCAGCACACTCAGCTCCAGCACACCTACCTTCCTGCACTTTCTGAACTCTTCCATGCGCGCTGAGTCTTCACATATGCTGTTCCTGTTCCTTGGGATCACCATCCCCAGTTTACTACCAGGTGAACACTTGTGTGACCTCTGGGGTACACTCGCATCACCCTCTCCTTGAAGACATCTCAGAAACCCCAAGGTCAAGGTTCTTCCACTCTCCTCCACCTGCAACTTGCATATTTTCCTTTAAAATACTGACCCAGGAAATGGTGATTGTTTGGTTAGGGGAGAGCCTGTGCCTTATTCTTGTGTGTATCCTCAATTTCTAGCTTTGGTTCTGCACATAGTGGGACTCAGGAAAAGTTTTTCAGTGAACTGATTAGAGTGGAGGAGAGAGGGAGATCTAGGTGGGGAGGAGACAAAGAAATACAGAGATGAAGAGGCACATGAGCCAAGGAAGGATGGCGGAAATGAAGGAATCAGGGACCGAATGTTAGCAAGACACAACTTGACAACTCACTGTGGAAAATCTTTTCAGGAATAAATACATTTTCTTGTTTCAATCTAAGGTTTCATTTCTAAGTAGGCCATTTCTCTGCTTATATTTGTTCCTAGTAAGCCCCAATGTCAAATTAGCTTTTCCTTTTTTTTTTTCTTTTTTGAGACAGAGTCTCGCTCTGTCACCCAGGCTGCAGTGCAGTGGCGCGATCTTGGCTCATTACAGCTCCTGCCTCCCAGGTTCAAGCAATTCTCCTGCCTCAGCCTCCCGAGTAGCTGGAATTACAGGCATGTGCCACCACGCCCAGCTAATTTTTGTATTTTTAGTAGAGACGGGGTTTCACCATGTTGCCCAGGATGGTCTCCAACTCCTGACCTCAAGTGATCTGCCCACCTCGGCCTCCCAAAGTGCTGGGATTATAGGTGTGAGCCACAGTGCCTGGGCCCCCAGTGGGCTTTTCTAATTATAAGTGTATCCAACTATTATAAGATCCTCTTTAGACAACTTAAGCTTTTTCTTTAGATATTGTTCCCACATATTTCAAGCATGAAATCACTATTTTCCCTGGAGTGATACCTAAAAACTTGCTTCTCTGCTGTTTGCAAATCCTCAAAAGTCAGGGAGGAAGGCTCTTACAGTCACTTTGGAAGGGTGTCACCATGCAAATTCACAGTTTCTGACTGCTGTGATTAAGTATCAGCCCATAAGGTAACACCTACTGAAGATAACAAGTAGTCTCAAATATTTATGATGACACTAAGTCAGAAATCATATTGCAGCAACCCACCAAGAGAAAATACCTTCTTCATATCTCTTCCATGATACCATCCCAAATGGCTTCAAAAAGACTCAGAAATCTGTTTACAAAGCACTATTCAGATTTCCACAAATGGTCCCTAGAATCAGGGGTAGAATTCACAGTGATCACAGTCCTGAATCTAGGACTGTAAAGTTTGCCAGAGCAAGACAGACAATGATCTCTCACAAAGAGATATACGAATACACCTTTCTAAATGAAAAATGATACTTTTTGGAGAGGAAATAATAAAATTCTCTAATTAAAAATTTTTTAAGTATGGTTAGTTTGTCATTGAAAAATATTAATACCAGACTTATCAGTTAAGATGGCAGACTGAATACATGTACCTAATTTCGTTCCCTCCCCACATCCTGCTAATATATATCAAAGAACTTTTTTTTTTAGAGGTGGGGTCTCACTATGTTGCCCAGGCTAGTCTCAAACCCCTGGACTCAAGCAATCCTCCCCCCTTGGTCTCCCAAAGTGCTGGGATTAGAGGCAAGAGCCACCGCACCCATTAAAGAGATTTTTAAAAGGATATAAATCCATAAGAATGGGGAAAACAGTAGAACACAGCAACAAAATTTCAGAAGTTAAAAAGTAGATAGTCCAGTGGTACAGATATCAGTCCCAAGAAAATGGAATGTCAAGTCAGCAGAGAGAAAATCTGAGAACCAATCTGATTTAGCCCTCCAAATGCTCAGAGGTCTCAGGAGCTGGCAGCACCAGGTATTTCTGGACATGGGTGTGAGAGATGGAGGCCTTGGCCTCCCAAAGTGCTGGGATTACAGGCGTGAGCCACCAGCCCCCAGGCAGTGTTCTGGTTTGACCCACTCCTGAGACCTAGAGGTAGGCAATGAGGAGCTTAGAGGAAAAATACAGAGCAGCTCGCTCTCCCAAGCACTCCCTCTGGTCATCTAGAACCCCAGGCCTATGACGGCCCCTCCAGCTGCCCAGACACATGCCCTTTTCTGGGACTCAGATTTGACTCTATGAACAGAAAGTAGGTACATAAATAACCAAAAGTCTAAGAGTGACTGCTGTGGAGATGCAACTGGAAAGAAGCAATGGTACTGGTAATATTCTTTCTTTCTTTTTTAGGGTCAGGGTTCTCGCTCTGTCGCCCAGGCTGGAGTGCTCACTGTGACCTCGAACTCTTGGGCTCAAGTGATTCCTCCTGCCTCAGCCTTCTGAGTACCTGAGACAACAGGTGTGCACCACCATGTCCAGCTAATTTTTAAAATGTTTTCTAGAGATGAAGTCTCACTGTATTGCCTAGGCTGGTCTCGAACTCCTGGGCTCAAGTGATCCTCCTACCTCAGCCTCCCAAAGTGCTGGGATTACAGGGGTGAGCCACCGCACCCAGTGCGACTTGGTTCTCAAATCTACCTATGGTAGGTGAGGTACTCACCTCTCACCACCTCTGTTTCCCCACTGTAAAATGGGAATAATAGTATCTACTTCTTTTGTAAGAGTTAAATGAATTAATACATATAAAGTACAAAAAATCAGTGCCCGGCATATAGTAATGCTCAATAAAGGTTAGCTACCACTGTCCTCACTATTACAGATAAGCAGCATCTGACTACACATGATAACTATCTGCAAGTGAAGTTCTTTCCATCCAAAGGTCCACAAGTCCTGACCCTTGCTGAGGGGGTCCTTCTCCTCATGGCTTCCTGGTGTCCACAGCCTTTGCCATCTCTCAATCAGCCACTGGTTGCAAATGCGAGTTTAGATGAAGCGGGTGACGCTTATAACACCTTAAGTCTTTTCACACTCAGGATTAAGACATGGATCCCTAAAAGTGGCAAACTTAGCCTGCTGGTGGGCTGTCAAACAGCATAGCTGCCTCCTCCACCAGCCAGTGCCATAAGGGGCCTCTTTGCAAGAGAATCGATACACAGATGTGAGTGAGGACTCATCATAAACACAGGTGGTCACATGGGACTCGGAGGGAGCTGCACGGGGGCACAGGGCACAGCCAGAGCACTGGCTGGGGAGCTGGGAGAACTGGGTTCCAACAGTGGCTATGTGTGACCCAGCGAAGGTCACTCATCCAGATTCCACATGCCCGGGTTCCGGGACTCTTAAGTGGTTTGTTGGTTTGCCTTTAAATACCATGTAATTAATGCAGGGAGAGAGGGAGGTCAGTCACAGGGCAGTGAGTCTACTGAAAAACACAGTCTATCATCCCAAACTGACTTCAGAGCCAGTGCTGACCTGCTTGGGCTTCCCATCCTCTTGTCTCGGCAGGGCTCATAACAATGTTATCATTTTTTAAAACATATGCCTAAGCTAGTTCCTATTCTAGACAATTGGCAGGTGCCCAGTTAATAGATTATTCCACCAGACAGTTGAATGCATTGGCCATTGATCAAAAATGAGGTCACTGCAATCCTATGTGCTAGAACTGGAAAAGCCTGATGAGAAACAACTGTATCTTTCTTAACAAATAGAAATCCATATTCCTATTTCCCTAAATTTGTCTTGCCTGGCGTGTAGCTCAGAAGCAAAGGAGGATTTTGTTTAAGGTCAAGTCGGTCTTGCTTTCTGGCCCCATATGTTTGGTTTTGTGACTGTTCATGAGTGTTTCACATCAGCAAATCCCCAACTGGATTCCAACTGACCTGCAGGAATATCTGGCCAACACTGCCAGATCCCTGGTCTTTCTCTCAAACCTGCACAGTCGGAAAGAACAGGTCAAGAGACTCTTCGTCCCAGCTATCTGGATCCTTGTTTAAATTTTACTCACTTACATCTGTGCTGTGGACACAGGTAATATGAAGCACATGTACTTTTCTCAAAAAAAAAAAAAAAAATCTAAGGAACACAGAGCTGTTGTATCAGAGGCTGCAACGTCTTCCCAGCACGTGGGCATTCGCAGACAAAGCTATCCCTGCTGACCTGCTGTGGGAAAGACATGCACTCTGATTTCACCACTGACCCGGCCGCACTCTTTTGTCCAGTATATAACGCCTCCCTAAGCATCTCCTTTCCTTGCAAACAAAAAAACCCTGGAGGAAAACTTTCAAAGCCACAGTTTCTTCTCAGTTGCAACCCTTCCTTCCTTCCTTCTTCCCAAGAAGGTCTGACTGGGCTTGCAAGCTGGCCCCACCCTGGGCTGGGCCTCCACACAGGCATTGTGCGATCCTCTGCCATTCTGTGTAGACGGAATACCTGCGAACTGCTGCCAACACAGGAAGGTTGGCGCCTCTCTGGAGGGAGGCCTGGGGAGTATCCATCGCCCAGGCGACTGCAGATAAGCAGCTAAGGGGCTAGGGTTCTCCACACCTCCATGTGGGTTCCAGAGCCTTTCTCTTGTACTTCTTTTACTGTTTTTGATTCATCCTTAATTCATTCACTTAGCAAACCTATTGAGCCCCTGCCCACAGCAAGCCCCGTGCTGGTGTTGGAGGACACAGAGTTGACTGAGATAGATTCCAGTCCTCAAGGCTCTCATGTTGCTGAGACAGGCCACTCATGGAGCAACCCTGGCACCTGGGACTCCTGGAGCCCCCAGTGAAACCACCTTTCTGCGATCCCAGTATCAATCCCATCAGCAGGGTCCCTTAGATCACGTCACCAGAGACAAAGCCAACGGAGGGTGGAAGCAACAGGAGCGTGGTGCAGATCCACCAGCCCCAACTCCACCTCCTGGGTTTCATCCCTCCCTTAGCACCAGCGAGGACTTCCAGATTCAGATTGTTTTTGGTCTTAAGAACTTTCTTGTCACAGCCAAGTGGCAGGCGGGACATGGTAATTGGCCTATGTTGCGCTTGGACCTAGCAAATGAGTAAACTTTTCAAGACTAAATCATCAATGCTACCCACTCTGGATCCTCCAAACACCTGCTCATTATCAGCATCTGCAATACAACAAGTACCTACCTAGGTAGTAACTAACATACATAATGGTGATTCACAAAGAGGAATGAGGGCAGTAAGAGGAAGGATCCCAGGCCTGGCCAGAAACCCCTATCCAGTAGCTCATACCAAGGGTCCAGCTAGGGATACAGGCAGAGGGAAAGAGATCAGAACCAGAAAAAGAGGAAGAGGAAAAAGAGTCAGAGTCAGAAAGGGATGGGAAGAAAGAAAAAGAAAAAAAGACAGGAGAAACCTAATAAAGGTTTGAAATGGTCCTTGGGGCCAGGTGCGGTGGCTCATGCCTATAATCCCAGCCCTTTGGGAGGCCAAGACAGGTGGACTATTTGAGCCCAGGAGTTCGAGACTAGTCTGGGCAACATGATGAAACCCTGTCTCTACAAAAGATACAAAAAGATACAGGTGGTACACACCTGTAGTCCCAGCTACTCAGGAGGCTGACAAGTGGGAGAATCGCTTAAGCCTGGGAAGTTGAGGCTGCAGTAGGTCAATATCACACCACTGCACTCTAACCTGGGTGAGAGAGCAAGACCCTGTCTCAAAAACAAAAATAATAAAAAAAAGAAAGCCGGGTGCGGTGGTTCACGCCTGTAATCCCAGCACTTTGGGAGGCCGAGGTGGACGGATCACGAGGTCGGGAGATCGAGACCATCCTGACTAACACGGTGAAACCCCGTCTCTACTAAAAAAAAATAGAAAAAATTAGCCAGGCGCCTGTAGTCCCAGCTACTTGGGAGGCTGAGGCAGGAGAATGGTGTGAACCTGGGAGGCAGAGCTTGGAGTGAGCTGAGATTGCGCCACTGCACTCCAGCCTGGGCAACAGAGCGAGACTCTGTCTCAAAAAAAAAAAAAATTAAAAAAAAAGAAAAAGAAATGCTACTTGGTGCTTCCCATGTCTTTCATTGTGGCCACAAATTCCAGCAGGTCTGCTGCCTCTTTAGGGGCCCTGTGATCCCTTCATACTGCTGATTAACACAACCTTCCAAGGAATCATCCAAGAAAGGGGCAGAAATTCTCCCTGATGCTGGGGTCAGACTGCCCAAGGCCAAGGATGCAGAGGGCTGGGGCCGAGCAGCTGGGCTCCCAAGCTGGCCTCACCCTGTGTGCTCCAGGAGGTGCTGCTGAGGCCCTGTGGGCTGAGCTGGGAGCGCCCCTGCCTGGCCGGACACCATTCCCTGCCTGACGTGGGACTTGAGTTTGGTCCTGAGCTGAGCGTGTCTATGGCCTCTGTTCCTGGTGGCACTGGGGAGGTATGTTTTAGCCGCCTCAGCTCCTGGTCCTCACAGTCCACATCTCATTTCCTGCTTCCCCTTAAAGAGGCTCACCTCTAACAGTTTTAACCAGGCATGAACGGGCCCAGCGGAGACTGGCAGGTTCTCAGACCCCCTTGATCCGAAAGGAGAAAGGAAGCAGTAAGGAGTTCACCAACTTCCTCCAAGGGCACCCCAGAGCCAGCGGGTGCCAGGGGGCACCAGGGAATCACGCTTTGGAGTCAGGTGCCTCTGGGTTTCAATCCTGGCTGAGCCACGGACTATGCAAACTCAAGAAAGTTGCATAACCTCTCTGTGGCTTTGACTTCCTTGTCTGTAAAACTGGAATAACCATCTCACCCATCTCACTCAGTTGTTTCAAAGATAAATAGAATAATCTATGCAAAGTGCCTGACACAGAGTTGGTGCTCCTTCCCAGTTCGTCACACACATCCACACCCACAACTAAGCAGGTGTTTGCTGTACTTGTGGCCCTCAGCTGAGTGCAGGTCGAGTGGGAAATGCAGGAGGAAAAGGAGCCAGTCCTTACGTCAGGGGCTAACTGAAGAAGAGTTCCAGTCCTGGCCCTGAGCCTGTGCCCAGTGTAAAGGGGATGACAGTCTTGTCTCCAGGGTCTTGCCGGCCTGAGCGCTGAGGTACTTGGCCTGGATTGCCTTGGTTTCCTCCACTGAGCCTGGGCGCCCATCTCTGCAGATAACAGAGCAGAGCCTGCATGAGTAGAGGCTGAAAGGCAAAGGTTCTCAACCCTGGCTGCACAGTAGCACCAGGAGCACTTGAAAATACAGACCAATGGGCCCACCCCAGAGTGCTGATTTACTCGGTCTGGGGTGGAGCTTGGGATTCTTCTTTCCACACCTGAGGCTCCCCTGGTGCTTCTGATGTGCAGACAGGGTTAAGAACCCCAGGGATGGAGGCCAGGCTGTGAGGCTGGGGCCCCCACTTAAACCGCTCATCAGCTATTCTGAGACTTTCTTCCTCTCTGCTGGGCCAGGAAGGTGGCTGGAGACTGAGGCCTGGGCTTTGAAGTTACTTCACCTCTCTAGGTCACTGTTCCTGCATCTTTGAGGAGGGGAAAGCAACCCAGCCCACCTCCCTCCCACCATCATCATGAGGGTCACATGAGAGAGTGCGGAAGGCCATGCTGTGTAGCATCACCCACCCCACCAGCCCAGAAGGAGAACGTGAATGCCAGGATCCCACAGCCATTTCACGCAAAAGAGTGTTTCCTCTTAGTACCTCTGTGGGCAGTGAGGAAGGGTTGAGCCCGCTGTCCTGGGACGAGCCTTTCCAGCCATGAGAGGCCAGAAAACAAACAGTCAGAATCACAACTCCACACAGAGGCCATCCCGGGCACTGCAGGGCCCTTCCAGGCTGCCCTAGCTCACTGGAGCCCAGAAGACCCTTCCTGGCAAAGACATGTAGATGCCCTTCCACCACATGGCGAAGGGAGCCACAAAGGAGACTCGGGGACACGCCCTGCTGGGAGGACGATTCTACAGAATTTTGGTGGTAGCTAACTGCTGGCTCTTCATCTCAGGAGGATAACAGAGCCCCATCCAAGGGGGACCCAGGCAGATGTTCCCCATGGGGGCATGGAGGGCTCCCTCCAGGCACCCATGGATGAGCCATCCTCACCCGTCCGGGCAGAAAAGGCCACTGAGTCAGGCATCACAACCTTCCACGCAGTGTGTTCGTTCTTTGCACAAGTATTTCCTGAATACCTATAATAGGCCAGCACCGTGCATCCTAGGAAGACCCCAGGCCTGGCCCTCCGCAGACACAGTGCCAGGCCAGCTGCGAGGCCCAGAGAGCAGCCAGAACATCCATGTGTTCCCTGCATCCCGAGTGGAACAGCCACCTGGGGAGATTCTGGGTGTGTTTCTGGGTAAAGAATATTGATTTTTAGCTTACCCACTTTGTATGTTTGGAATTTTGTCAGAAAGGTTTTTTTAAAAATATATAGAACAGTGAAAATGCCTCTTCTGGTAAATTAAATTCACTCAACAAATATGGCTCTTTCCGCTTCCAAACCAGCACAGGCTGCCCAAGCGTTTCGCCCAGCCCACCGCTTCTCCTGCTCCCATGCTGCGGGGCGCTTTACCCCAGCCCTGACCACACCTCCGAGATCTGGGCCACTGTCTTCGGCTGACCTCTCACACTAGCCTCGCCATTTCCCCCACACCTGTTCCAGCTGCCATGTTCCTCCCGAGTCCCAGAACGTGAAGCCACCAGCCAGCCAGTCAGGTGTCAGCCTTATCCCTTTTCTTGGCCTCACCCCATACCCCACCCCCATCTCGTCTCTTTTCCACCCTAGAGGCCCTGCCTGGCTCTCTTGAGTTGCCGTAGCAGCCTCTCAAGTGAGTCCTGCCTCCTTTCTTCATCCCTATCCTGGGCCAGTTTCCGTATTGGGACAAGAGCAATCTTTCTAAAATATGAACTTGAGTCAGGTTTCCCGCTGCCCCCAAAATAAAGCCCAAGCCCCGCTGGGTGGCAGACAAGGCCTCTGCGTCCGTCTCCCTTAACACTCAGCTCCCAGACAATCTCCTCTAAAAAGTCTTTCCTGACTCTCCGACTGTACGGGGAGCGCCAGGAGACCCGGGTGCCCTGTGCAAACCCCTCTCACACCACTTTCACCACTCAGTAACTCTTCTGTGTCTCCCTTGCACGAAGAACAGTTAAAATGAATGAAATGCCATGACATGCATTAACATGGATAAATTGCGAAAATATGTTGGCTGAAAGAAAGCAAATTGCACAATCATTCACTCACCATTCAAATTATTTATCAAGTGAAAGGATCCATGCGGTATGATACAATGTATATAAAATTTTCAAACGCTGAACAATAGCCGACATCACTTAGGGCCAGCTACATATGGTAGAAAAATAAAAACACATGGGGAGGATGAGCCTCCGGACAGTGGTCCCTTGGGGAACAGGACGGGGTCGGTGAAGGTACAGCTTAAACTGCATCTGTAATGCTTTATTTATTTTTATGTTAAATAGAGCTCTGAAGCAAAACTGGCAAAATAATATCCATTAAATTCGGGTGGTGGATAAATGAATATCTGTTATACTCTTTCCTGTATACTTGAAAGCATTCATCAGTACATTTTTAAAACTTTTTTTTTTTTTTGGAGACAGAGTCTCCCTCTGTCACCCAGGCTGCAGTGCAATGGCACAATCTTGGCTCACTGCAACCTCTGCCTCCCGGGTTCAAGAGATTCTCCTGCCTCAGCCTCCCCAGTAGCTGGGACTACAGGCATGCACCGCACCTGGCTAATTTTGTATTTTTCGTAGAGATGGGGTTTCACCATGTTGGCCAGGCTGGTCTCAAACTCCTGACCTCAGGTCATCCACCCATTTCAGCCTCCCAAAGTGCTGGGATTATAGACATTAGACACAGCACCCAGCCTTAAAAATTTTAACAAGGAACCAGAGTCCCAAATGCCCTCATTAAAGTCCCTGGGGTCCTGAGCAGACTGTTATAGCCCCTCACCCAAAGGATCTCCACGGGCCTTGGGCCTGGCAGCCATGCTAAGACAGGCAGGAAGGCAGCCTGGAGATGTAAATATGATTTTCATCCTTGTTTTTAACCAATGAGAAAACCAAAGCTGAGAACATCTAACATGGCTCAAGACCACACAGGGGATCCTGGATTTCAGACCATGCCTTCTTCATGTACAATTTCCTGAACTACTTCATCCAAGAGCAAGAACTTAGGTCTAATACGGCATGGTGAAGAGAATTCCAGAATTAGAAGGAGAGCTGTATTCATATGCTTCATAAATCAGTGAATAAACACGTTTTGCGGAGAATTGTTCAGAAAGGGGCAGAATTGGAGATACAACCAAATGGGAAATTTAGGGATAGCCCATGTGGCTCTTTGAATGCAAACAGAATGGGTTTGGGTTTTGTCCAATAGCAATAGAAAGCAACTGATGCTGCTTAAGCTGGAGAGTGACCGAGGCAAAGCACTGTTTTACGAAAAGTGATCTGGCTTCAGTGCATAGGAGGTGTCAGTCGCCCTTAGGAAATGGCTGGGGACAACCAAAGGGAAGATCCTCAAGGGATAAATTCTGATTTGGACATTATCTAAATGGCCCACAGAGGAAATGACATGTGCTAATCTAAGGTGAGAACTGTGGGGTTGTAAAGGATAAAAGAGCTTAAGCTAGACAGAGAAATAAAAGTTCTTTTCCAAGTTTTCCAGGCTTGGGGAAATGGTGATAGGCATTCAGATGATAAGCTGATTATTGGCTTGTTGATTAATTGGTGGAAAGGGCAGTGGGGGAAGAAAAGGCTAACTAAAGAGAGGAGTGAGAAATTGAGGGCTTTCGCTTTGTCTGCCTTTAATTCAAGATGGTGCCCAGACAGCCAGGTAGAGATCCGACAGGAGCTGGCGATATGAGAGCTATATTGAAGAAAGCTGGAGAAGCAGGGGAGAGCCACTGGTGCAGCGATGGTGGAAGTTTATTTCTGAGGAAAAAGGCACAAAAACAGTGACGTGATAGCAGAGGACTGAGCCCCGTGGCCTCCCTGCCCACATCAGGGAACAGGAAAACCAAGAAGAGAGCTAAGCCAGTGTTGTATTGTGGAAGAAGTAGGAAGAGACCATTTCAAATTAGCATAGGTGGTCAACAGTGCAAAAAGTTTCAAGAATAAGAAATGAGTCAAGGTCCTGGGGTTGAAGATCAGGAGATTATGGGAGCCTGAGATAAAGGAATCTCAGCAGACAGCAGAGGCAGGCATGCTTGCCCCATCCCTTCTACAGCTCCAAAGGAGTGACCTTGTCCTCACAGCCAAGCACAAGCCCCCTCCCTCACCCAGCAGAAGCAGCTCCCGTCTGCTACATTCAGCGTGAGATGGACCTGTGCCTGGCCTGGCCCAACTGATCCACCTCCCACAGATGGCAGAGGGCCATGGCAGGACAGAGAGTGTGCAGTGCAGGCTCTGGAGTGGAACCCTGTAGAGACCAGGCTACCGTCTTCCTAGATAACCAAAAAGCTTCAGCTTGGAGAGGCATGAGTTCATTTCTAAATGCAGAACATAGGATTCAAATGTGCCACATGTCACTTTATTTTCTAAAATGTATTTTCTCTATATTTGCCTGACTTCTATGGCAATAAAATCATTTTGGCATGACACTCATCTTACATAAATGAAAATATGAGCCAACAGAATGGCATTTTAGTAGCTTTAAGCCAAACAAATTCCTGAGAGGGTCTTGTTTAAATTAAGTTATCGTGCTATTTAGCTTTTTACAGTGAAGAAGCTCTGTGTCTTCAGAGAGCCTTGTGCAGTGATGCTTGTTTTTGGAAGGATGGGACAGGAGGTGAAGAAAGGAAGAGGGGCCCAGGCTGCCAGGCTGCAGATCAAGAAGTCAGGAGGTGAGGAAATGAGGACGATGAGAAGGACCCACTGTTATTGGAAGTTTGGAGATGAAATGAGAGACAAGACATAGAGTGAGGGTGACAGGGGAAGACAACTTGAGACGGAAGGACACAGTGGAGGGAGGGGTGTGCCAGGGGAAAGCATCTGACGAATGACACTCTGCACCTGAGTATGAGGCTGCCAGCCCCTTTGCCCACCTCCACTCTGCTCCCCGAACTGATGCAGCCGGGCATGTCCCTGGCAGGAGATGAGAGAATTCTTCTCTGGAGAATACGAACTATACCAGAGAAAGACCTGCAGAAACGAACATTTGGGGGACTTCCAATGAAACAACGCAGTTTGCCACCAATCACCCTACTGTGATGCCCACCTGTCACAACTGCCACCCACTTGGGTTGTGGATGGAACTCCCGATCAGCTCTGTGGTGCCTCATTACCAACAATGGATGGACAGCGACTACCAGACATTTGGAGAAAGCTGGCAGCATCTGACAGGGAGAGCAGAACAAGATTGTAGAAAAAGAAATCTGGAAAAGAAAATAGGGAAAATAGAAAGCAAAAACAGGGAAAGATTATAGACAATTCAAAGAAAAAAATACAAGTGGGAATAAAATACAAAAAAAAATCCTCATTAATGATTCAAGAAAAGCAAATTAAAAGAAAAAGATTACATTTTTTTGCCCATCACATGACAGAAACTTGAAAAATTGAGCCTCTTCAATATTTTCCAAGGTATGGGGAATCAGTAACTCTTAGCTACTGTTAGTGATCGTTCAGAATGCAACAACTTTATTGGAAGGCAATCTGGTAGAACCTAACAAAATTTTTAAAGTGTTTGACCTTTGTCCTGTGAATTCTATTTATAAGCAATGATCCTGCAGAAATTAGCTCAAACTTTTGTGCAGGATGTACACATCAGCAATATTTATGATAGCAACAAACTGGAAAAATCTAAATACTCATCAGTAAGCTAATCTTTAAATATAAAGTATTTTAAATCTCTAATATGGAATGCTATGTGGGTGTTTTAAAAGAATGAGGACATCCTAAATGTACTGACATTGAAGGATATCCATGATATGTTAAAGAGTGGGGAGTAGCAAAACAATGTGGAATTTAATTACACTTTTACAAAGAGCTGTGCTGTGTGTGTTTATGTACATGCACATGTGCATGTGAGCTTGTGCATGTATACAAAATAGACTGGGGGCCGGGCGTGGTGGCTCACGCCTGTAATCCCAGCACTTTGGGAGGCTGAGGCGGGCAGATCACGAGGTCAGGAGATGGAGACCATCCTGGCTAACACGGTGAAATCCCGTCTCTACTAAAAATACAAAAAAATTAGCCGAGCATGGTGGCGGGCGCCTGTAGTCCCAGCTACTCAGGAGGCTGAGGCAGGAGAATGGCGTGAACCTGGGAGGCAGAGCTTGCAGTGAGCCGAGATCACGCCACTGCACTCCAGCCTGGGTGACAGAGCGAGACTCCGTCTCAAACAAAAAAAGAAAGAAAGAAAGAAAATAGACTGAGAAGCTATGTGCCGATCTCCCTCTGGGGAGTAGGAGTGGGAAAATGGAGTGAAGGGAAGAAACTTTCACTTGTCACTTGATAAATTTCAGGATATTTTATATTTTTATGAAACAAAGACATTGATTTTGTCTTTAAAATAAAAATAAAGAGAAAAATATAGTTTGACTTAAGTGTATTTATAACTGTTTTCTGATTTTAAAATTAACTATTGTGGTTTTTAAATGTGACTTCAAATTCTTTGACACTTCTCCATTGAAAGATATCATCTCACACCAGTTAGAATGGCAATCATTAAAAAGTCAGGCAACAACAGGTGCTGGAGAGGATGTGGAGAAATAGGAACACTTTTACACTGTTGGTGGGACTGTAAACTAGTTCAACCATTGTGGAAGTCAGTGTGGCGATTCCTCAGGGATCTAGAACTAGAAATACCATTTGACCCAGCCATCCCATTACTGGGTATATACCCAAAGGACTATAAATCATGCTGCTATAAAGACACATGCACACATATGTTTATTGCGGCACTATTCACAATAGCAAAGACTTGGAACCAACCCAAATGTCCAACAATGATAGACTGGATTAAGAAAATGTGGCACATATACGCCATGGAATACTATGCAGCCATAAAAAATGATGAGTTCATGTCCTTTGTAGGGACATGGATGAAATTGGAAACCATCATTCTCAGTAAACTATCGCAAGAACAAAAAACCAAACACCGCATATTCTCACTCATAGGTGGGAATTGAACAATGAGATCACATGGACACAGGAAGGGGAATATCACACTCTGGGGACTGTGGTGGGGTCGGGGGAGGGGGGAGGGATAGCATTGGGAGATATACCTAATGCTAGATGACACGTTAGTGGGTGCAGCGCACCAACATGGCACATGTATACATATGTAACTAACCTGCACAATGTGCACATGTACCCTAAAACTTAGAGTATAATAAAAAAAAAAAAATTAAAAAAAAAAAAAGAAAATTAAAAAGTAAAAAAAAAAAAAAAAAGAAAAGAAAAGGTGAAAATTAGGCCGGGCATGGTGGCTCAAGCCTGTAATCCCAGCACTTTGGGAGACAGAGGCAGGCGGATCACCTGAGTTCAGGAGTTCAAGTCCAGCCTGGCCAACATGGTGATACCCTGTCTCTACTAAAAATATAAAAATTAGCCAGACATGATGGCAAGTGCCTGTAATCTCAGCTACTCAGGAGGCTGAGGCAGGAGAATCACTTGAACCCGGGAGGTGGCAGTTGCAGTGAGCTGAGATCCCGCCACTGCACTCCGGCCTGGGTGACAAGCACAAAACTCCTTCTTAAAAAAAAAAAAAATTCATCTTCTCTGTTCTCTCTCTCTCTCCCTCTCCCTCTTTCTCTCTCTCTCCCTGTCTGTCTCTCTCTGATTGTTTGCTCTGGGAGAAGTCAGTTACCCCTTGTCTTAAGGATACTAAAACAGCTCTCAGGAAAGAACCACATGGACCACTGAGGCCTCCTAACAAGAAGAAATACCAACTTGCCAGTGAGATCCTCCAGCCCCAATTAAGCCTTCAGATGACCACAGACCCTGAGGACATCTGACTGAACCTCACCAGAGACTCTGATCCAGGGCCGCCAGCCAAGTCACACCCAAATTACTGGCTTACAGAAAAGGCCAGAGATAACAAATGTTTATTGTTATCTTATGCCACTAAATGTTGGGGTAATTTGTTTGACAATAATAGATAACTAATACGTGGACCAATCTCCCTCTGGAAAGAAGTGGAGAAACTGAGTGAAGGAGGAGACTTTCATTCTTTACTTTACTTTTTACATTTTTACATTATACATTTCAGGATTGTTTGGAATTGTTTCGTTGTTTATATTTAAAGAAATGGGAAGAAATAAAGTTAGGCTTAAGTGTACTTTAAAAAAACTTTTTTTCTGATTTTAAGAGTAACACTGGTCAGGCGCAGTGGCTCACACCTGTAATCACAGCACTTTGGGAGGCCAAGGCAGATGGATCACCTGAAGTCAGGAGTTCGAGACCAGCCTTGCCAACATAGTGAAACACTGTCTCTACCAAAAATACAAAAATTAGCCAGGTGTGGTGGTGCATGCCTGTAATCCCAGCTACTCGGGAGGCTGAGGCAGGAGAATTGCTTGAACCCAAGAGATGGAGGTTGTAGTGAGCCAAGATTGCACCACTGTACTCCAGCCTGGGCAACAAGGGTGAAACTCCATCTCAAAAAAACAAACAAACAAAGAAACCACTGGTGAAAAGGGACAAAGTTGGAGGATAGATGCTAACCAACTTTAAGACTTACTATAAAGCTGTAGTAATCAAGACGGTATGGTATTGGAGACAGAATAGACAAACAGAGCAATGGAACAGAAAAGAGAACCCAGAAACACACAAATACAGTCAACTGATATTTGACAAAGGCACAAAAGCAACTCAATGGAGACAGGAGAGTCTTTTCAACAACTGGTGCTGGAACAACTTGATATTCATGAGCCAAAAAAAAAAAAAAAAAAAAAAACCAAAATAACCTGGACACTCATCTTACACCCTTCACAAAATATTAACTCAATCTGGATCATAGACCTAAATGTCAAACAAAACTTCTAGAATGAGAAAATCTAGGAGTTTGGCAAAGAGATTTTAGGTACAGCACCCAAGGACCCAAGGCATGATCCACGGAAAAACACTGATAAGATAGACTCCATTACAGTTTAAAACTTCTGCTCTGCAAAAGACACTGTTAAAAGAATGAAAGAACCAACCACAGACTGGGGAGAAAAAATTTGCAAAACACACATCTGATAAAGGGTTTGAATCCAAAATATACAAAGCACTCTTAAAACTCAACAGTGGCCGGGCGCAGTGGCTCACGCCTATAATCCCAGCACTTTGGGAGGCTGAGGCGGGTGGATCTCTTGAGGCCAGGAGTTCAAGAACAGCCTGGCCAACATGGTGAAACCCCATCTCTGATAAAAATACAAAAAATTAGTCGGGCGTGGTGGTGCATGCCTGTAATCCCAGCAACTTGGGAGGCTGAGGCATAAGAATTGCTTAAACCCGGGAGGCAGAGGTTGCAGTGAGCCAAGATCGTGCCACTGCACTCCAGCCTGGGTGACAGAACAAGACCCTGTCTCAAAACAGAACAAAACAACTCAATGATAGGAAAACAAACAAACAAACAAAAAAACACAAGTTTTTTAAAAGGGCAAAAGATCTTGACAAACACTTCACCAAAGGTGATATACAGATGGCAAATAAGCATACAAAAACACGTTCAATATCATACGTCATTAGAGAATCGCAAATTAAAACAATGATGAGATATTACTATGCATCTACTAGAATTACTAAAAAACAAAAACAAAAAAACTGACAATACCAAATGCTGATGAGGATGTGGAGCAACAGGAACTCTCATTCATTGTTGGTGGGAATGCAAAATGGTACAGCCACTTTAGAAGACAGTTTGGCAGTTTCTTACAAACATAGTCTTACCACATGCTCCAACAATGATGCATCTAGGTATTTATCCAAATGAATGAAAAATGTATCCTCACAAAAACCTGAACATGGATGTTTATATCAGTTTTATTAATAATTGCCAAAAACTGGAGGCAACCAAGATGTCCTTCAGTAGGTGAATGGACAAACAGTGCTACATCCAGTTTCTTTTTATTCAGTGATAAAAAGAAATGAGTTATCAAGCCAGAAAAAGACATGGAGGAATCTTAAGTGCATATTACTAGTGAAAGAAGCCAAGCTGAAAATGCTACATACTGTATGGTTCCAACTATACAGCATTCTGGAAAAGGCAAAACTATGGAAACAGTAAAAAGATCAGTGGTTGCCAGGAGTTGGGGAGCATTAAAAGGCAAAGCACAGGGAATTTTTAGGGCAGTGAAACTCATCTGTATGATGCTGTAATGCTGCATACGTAACATTGTACATTGTCAAAATCCATAGAATGTATAATACTGAGTGAACCCTAAACTATTAGCAATAACATATCAATATTGGTTCATCACTTCCAGTAAATGTACCACATTAACACAGGATATTAATAATAGGGGAAACTGTGGTGGGGGAGAGAGAAAAGGGGTATGTGGGAACTTTTGTACTATCTGCTTAATTTTCCATAAACCTAAAACTGCTCTAAAAGTGAATTAATTTTTTTTAAAAAAGTAACACTGGTCATTTGAAGGAAAAGTAGAAATAAGATAATTTAGCCACATATAATCTCAACAGAAAGATAGTTGCTATTATGCATAGTTCCTTCCAGTCTTTTTTTCAAATGTCTATGTATATGTCCTCATTTTTTAAGAGTTGAAATCACTCTGTTAAATTCATTTTGAAGGTTTATAGTTTGGTTTCAGTTTGGATTTTTAACCACAAAGAAAATATCCCATATGAAACATCAGTGATACCAAAAACAGATTCTTGAGGAGCCAGTTGCTATGGGAATGATTGAAAATAAATTTCATCTCACACTACACTCTACTAATGTATTGACCAGAAGGAAGGAAAAATATTTGGAGTAACTTAGAAGAGCAGCCAAGAACTTCTAATCAAGAAGAAGGAAAATACATCAGGCTAGTGTGAGGTTTCAAAGAAGCCAGTAGCACGGCCTTGCAATTTCACTAATTGAGCTCTTCCAGCAACCGTGTCACTGGAGGGGGAAGTACAAGGAATCAGGGACCTGAGTGGACTCTGTCTTTCCTTCACTGACAGTTTGATGAGCCAAAGGCCAGCAAGTCTCCCTCCATATGCGGGCCATCTCTGCAGGGTGGTACATGGCCAGGAAAAAAAAAAAAAAATCACTGTTTCCTTCCTGGAGATGCGTCAAATATTTAGCAAGCTGCAAAGCCTGGGCTCCAGGTGATCAGTATGGACATCACATTGGCCCTGAGCATTAGAGTGGGCCCTGGGGTTAACCCTTTAGGTGCCGGATCGTTGGGGCATCTGAAGGTTCCTGGAGAGGGACTAGGATGCCAGAGGGTAGGGGATACTCAGGGAGTTCAGGGGAGTGACAGTTTTCCAACAGAAGATTTTAACATGCTCAGAAGTAGTAAGGCCAGATCAGTGGATGCCAACCGAATGCTGACCTTCCCACAACCAACATTTTTCTAAAAGGCAGGACTGTGTAGGTGCACATCCGGGCTGGCCTCCAAGGGGAAAAGCAGAGTTGCTGTCACAAAAAGACAGCATATCATCGTGCAAAAACAGGCCCCACTTCTCACCTCAGGCAACAGCTTTAGCATCAAACAGATCTCGCTAAATAATTTTTTTTGTATTTAGTAGAGACAGGGTTTCACCATGTTGGTCAGGCTGGTCTCAAACTCCTGACTTCAGGTGATCCACCTGTCTCGGCCTCCCAAAGGGCTGGGAATACAGGCATGAGCCACTGTGCCTGGCCTGGTTTTTTTAATAGCAAGAAAATAAAAGGACACATAGGCATGGGCAAGGACTTCATGTCTAAAACACCAAAAGCAATGGCAACAAAAGCCAAAATTGACAAATGGGATACAATTAAACTAAAGGCTTCTGCACAGCAAAAGAAACCACCATCAGAGTGAACAGGCAACCTACACAATGGGAGAAAATTTTTGCAACCTACTCATCTGACAAAGGGCTAATATCCAGAATCTACAATGAACTCAAACAAATGTACAAGAAAAAAACAAACAACCCTATCAAAAAGGGGGCAAAGGATATGAACAGACACTTCTCAAAAGAAGACATTTATGCAGCCAAAAGACACATGAAAAAATGCTCATCATCACTGGCCATCAGAGAAATGCAAATCAAAACCACAATGAGATACCATCTCACACCAGTTAGAATGGCAATCATTAAAAAGTCAGGAAACAACAGGTGCTAGAGAGGATGTGCAGAAATAGGAACACTTTTACACTGTTGGTGGGACTGTAAACTAGTTCAACCATTGTGGAAGTCGGTGTGGCGATTCCTCACGGATCTAGAACTAGAAATACCATTTGACCCAGCCATCCCATTACTGGGTATATACCCAAAGGATTATAAATCATGCTGCTATAAAGACACATGCACACGTATGTTTATTGCGGCACTGTTCACAATAGCAAAGACTTGGAACCAACCCAAATGTCCAACAATGATAGACTGGATTAAGAAAATGTGGCACATATACACCATGAAATACTATGCAGCCATAAAAAAGGATGAGTTCATGTCCTTTGTAGGGACATGGATGAAGCTGGAAACCATCATTCTCAGCAAACTATCGCAAGGACAAAAAACCAAACACCGCATGTTCTCACTCATAGGTGGGAATTGAACAATGAGAACAAATGGACACAGGAAGGGGAACATCACACACCAGGGACTGTTGTGGGGTGGGGGGAGGGGGGAGGATTGCATTAGGAGATATACCTAATGTAAATGACGAGTTAATGGGAGCAGCACACCAACATGGCACATGTACACATATGTAACAAACCTGCATGTTGTGCACATGTTATCCTAAAACTTAAAGTATAATAATAATAAATAAATAAATATACATTAAAAAAAGAAAATAAAAGGACACATAGAAAATGTGCTAGGCGATGTCTGTGTGAAGAGGAGCTTCTAGCCTCATGAAGCTGCTCCAAGACACACCTGCTCACCTGATCCAGGAACAGCTCACACCAATTGTAGGTAAAGCCTATGGGGGTTAGGGGGAGATGGGGTGGGCAAACTCACACCTACAAACATCTCTAAAGCAGTGAAGATCCATAAGGCCACATACTGGACTCTGAAAGGCTTACCTGGGTCCAGGTGGGTGAAAGAACCCACCACAAAGTCCAGTGTGGACACGGCCAGCAGGAACAGCAACAGCAGCTGGAGGCGGATTATCCATTTGACACCTGCGAGGTTAATGCCCAGCAAGGCCAGAAGCACCGCAACTGAAATTCCTCGCACAGCCCAGATATTCCCGAGGCCCAGCAAATCCGAGATGGATTCAGCAAAGCCGGTGATATACATGGCACCTGCAACACACTGACATGCGATTCCAGGTAGAAGAGTCAGCAGGACAGAAAGCCATGGGCCCATGGGCAGAACCGCCCAGCGCTGAGAACCCTGCACCCCCATCGGACACACTCACTGGCACCAAGGCACAGTGCCTGGGACCAGTGCAGGGTTAAACCAGCCCTTCCCACCCGTGAACCTGCCTCAGGCCCCATTTCTACTTGTCTACATCTCAACTAAAGAATGAAGGAGGAACCCAAGCTGAGAGCTGGCTGTCAGTGATAACAAAGATGAAAAGACTATGGGAGGAAGAAGATGGGACACTGGGCTAAAGAGGCCTCCGGATTTCTCAGTCCGAGTTATTCAAGAACTAAATATAGAACAAGAACACACAGGGGGTCCCATCTACAGAGCCTTAAAAGGACACTGCAGTAAACCAGATTTTTCTTCATTTCTCTATAGGTCAGTATTATTTTTAAAATTATCTAAAACTTAGCAAAAAAAAAAGTGAGTGGCACGTCTTTTTCAACGTCATATGTGGCAAAGGCTACCCAAGGACTATCTAGGTGAATGTACTTCATTTTACTCACTATTTGCTGTTGATTAAATGCATTATATGCCCCAGATTTAATAAAGTTACATGTTACCTTATGGATTTTTTTCCAGTACAGATGCAAATAACTTCTGTCCAGTGGAACATATAACCCAAAAGATTAGGATTTGTTGTCCTGTAAGACATTAACTGATTTTCTATCTAACCCAGCAATCTTATCCTAACATTTATTTATTCAACTGCCTAGTTATGAATTTACTAATCTGACCTCTGTCCACCCAGCATCCTTTGCAGATGCTCTTTAACATCTTACTGGCTCCTCCATTAATTCATAAATTAAATAAAATCCCTGCTCCAGGTTAGGCTTCCTATGAGTATTTGTTATATAATCTTTTTTTAAAAAAATGAAATGAAATCCTTGGCACATGTTTTTCTTATATTTGCCTGAGAATCATGATTTTATCTTTTGGGAAATATTTGAAAGATCATTTCAAATTAAATTGTTGAAAATAACATCAGTCTCACTTTTCCTAATTCCTCAGCCTCAGCCTTCTTCTCTCCTCAGGTTTGTCCTTCACTGCCCCCAGGGCCAGCTGGTCACTCTAATCACTGTAGCCCTGCCCTTGCCATTCTCTGGGAACAAATTCTATTAGGGCCTCATTCGTTCAAGTCCCTCCTTTTCCATGAGGCCTCTCCTCAACCTCTTTTTCTGAATAAATAGTAAGCTAACTGCTAAGGCCATACAATTAATTATCTGGTTCCATATTCTATTATCATGTCATGAACGTAAGTTTGTCTCCCCACCCCACCACCAAGAATGCAAATATCTTAAAAAATTGTTTATGCTGATTGTACCTCTTCAAATACTTGCATTTGCTAAGTATGTTGCAAGCATTCAATAAATACTTTGTGATATGCTGATCATATAAAAGGTGCTCTGGGAAGCAGGCTCCATGAGTTCCAGCCATTTTGTGTAAAGGCAAAAGGGTAATACAACTTCTGGATTTGAAAGGAGCTTGTGAACAAGGCCCCATTCTTCAATGAGATCAGCTCACTTTGCAACTAGGCACATATCATGTTTGTCAGCATCCCCCAAATTTACACTTAGCTTAACAGTTATTCCAGCATCCCATAGTGGTAAACATTTCTGTCCATATTAGGATGAGGTGGAAAGCCCAAGAAATGTGAGGGAAATACAATCATTTCTGAGAGAGAGAGAGAGAGAGAGAGAGAGAAAGAGAAAGACAGAGAGACTAATGTTTTCCTGCATTCATCTCAGAACTCAAACTTCCTCTTTACTAAACACCAAGAGTGTGATGTGTGATAGTGACGTTATTTCATCAGTATTTGGCCAGGTCAACAGGACTCTTCATGGTCAAAATTATCTGAGCAAAATAAAAGTAAATAAAATAAATGACAAAAATGTAGCAATGGATACCATTTATATGGGCACCACTTTCCCAGGTACCTGATGTCTCTGACATGCAGAGGATGATGCCATGGGACCATCTGCATCCAAAGCTTCCAAACTGTTTTTTTTTTCCTAGCAGTAGAACAATTTGCTCACGCAATGTGAGCCAAGCTGTAAATGCTGCCTTTTGTTCCCAGTAACTCCAGTGGATCTCATCCTTCTGGTTTGTATCTAAAATTGCTTTTTAGCCCAAAGATGCCAGCAACAGGGGATGGGGCAGGGTAGGGGGTGGGGGAAGCTCCTCAGGAGGCTTGTAAGGGCATGGTGGTTAGGAGCATGAATTGCGAAGCCAAAATATCTAAGGCCAAATCCTGGCTGACTTGGGAAAGTGTTTTAACCCCTCCGTGAAATACAGATAATGATAGTAACCTTCAAAAGGTTACTGTGAGAACTAAATGAGATGATTTATGTAAAGACCTAGAACAATATCTGGCTCATAGAGTTGTAGAAACAATAGCTACCACCTGTAATCCCAGCACTTTGGGAGGCCAAGGAGAGCAGATCACTTAAGGCCAGAAGTCTGAGACTAGCCTGGGCAACATGGTGAAACTCCATCTCTACTAAAAATAAAAATAAGCCAGGCACGGTGGTGTGCACCTGTAGTCCCAGCTGCTTGAGAGGCTGAGGCAGGAAAATCCCTTGAACCCGGGAGACAGAGGTTGCAGTGAGCTGAGATCACGCCACCGCACTCCAGCCTGGGCAGAAAATAATAATAATAATAATAGCTACCGTCATTATTATGACTTTGTTATTATTCGCTGCTGAAGAAGAGGAAACAGTAGCTAGCTATGAATATCATAAGATACTTTGTTGATGCTAAATAGATGATGGTACCATCACTGGAAATTTGCAATATAAGTTGTAAATAAGGATGCTTGAAACCAAAGAGACTTACTTTAAGGAAAGCAATTAACAGTCCAAAATTAAACCGTCTTCTCACAATGAGTCTGGGGGTAGAAGTGGGGGTGTTTATGGAGAGTAGGAAAGTAAATGTATCATAGAAGTTTAATATTTTGTTGGTAGAGGAGCTAGTAAATAATGTGTCTTGGTTGAGAAGTGTAGAAAATTATGATAGAAAAGGATAAGTTTAATTATGACTTCTGAGGGTAGACTGTCACTACTAGAAGAACTAAAAGCATAGTAGAACTTCCAAATCAACCAAAATGCAATAGAAAAATAACTGACACATGTTGCCAAAGTCAAAAGAAATGAAAAATAAAATTTTATATTTTTTACAAAGTAATGAAAACGAGAATGTTTTATTCAAAAACTCAAGAGGCATAACTAAACTTGGGTTCAGAAGAGAAAAATGTATAGTCTTAAATGATTTTATTAGTTAAAAAGAAAAATAGGCCAGGCGCGGTGGCTCACGCCTGTAATCCCAGCACTTTGGGAGGCCGAGGCGGGTGGATCATGAGGTCAGGAGATCGAGACCATCCTGGCTAACAAGGTGAAACCCCGTCTCTACTAAAAATACAAAAAATTAGCCGGGCGCGGTGGCGGGCGCCTGTAGTCCCAGCTACTCGGGAGGCTGAGGCAGGAGAATGGCGTGAACCCGGGAAGCGGAGCTTGCAGTGAGCCGAGATTGCGCCACTGCAGTCCGCAGTCCGGCCTGGGCGACAGAGCGAGACTCCGTCTCAAAAAAAAAAAAAAAAAAAAGAAAAATAAAGGAACGAAGAATTAACTTCAGTCACAAAAATATCAACATAAATAAAAAGATAATAGAGAGAAGTATTTTATATAAAGAAATATGAAATTAATGAAATAGAAGAAAAAATAACAAAAGAAAAATACAAGAAACAAAAGCTGATCTTTTAAAAAAAAATTAAATAGATAAGCCTCTGGTAGCCTGATTACAAAGAAAAGAGAAAATGCAAAAATATAGACTATTAGGAAAAAAACTACATATACAGAGGAGAGTAAAGAATGAATAGAGGGCCAGGCCCAGTGGCTCATGCCTGTAATCTCTGCACTTTGGGAGACCAAGGTGAGAGGATCACTTGAGTCCAGGAGTTCAAGACCAGCCTGGGCAACATGGCAAAACCTTGTCTCTACAAAAAAATACAAGGCTGGGTGCCGGGTGCAGTGGTTTACGCCTATAATCCCAGCACTTTGGGACACCAAAGTGGGAGGATTGCTTAAGCCCAGAAGTTCAAGACCAGCCTGGGTAACATGTCAAAACTTTGTCTCTACAAAAATAATTTAAAAATTAGCTGAGCATAGTGGTGCACGCCTGTAGTCTCACCTACTTGGGAGGCTGAGGTGGGAGGATCACTGGAGCCCAGGAGTGCCAGGCTGCAGTGAGCTGTGATGGCGTCACTGCACTCCACCCTAGGCAACAGACTGAGACCCTGTCTCAAAAAAAATTAAAAAAAGAATGAATGGAGAATAGAAATGAGCCATAAATTATGGTATATTTATACTATACGATATTAAGTAACCATTTAAAAAGCATTGGTTTAAAACATTGACCAAGAGATATATCTATTACTTAAAGTGAGAACTACAAGCCATGGAATAATGTATGAAATTTGTCCCCATTTTTTTTTTTTTTTTGAGACAGAGTCTTGCTCTGTCGCCTAGGCTATAGTGCAGCGGCGTGATCTCAGTTCACTGCAACCTCTGCCTCCTGGGTTCAAGTGATTCTCCTGCCTCAGACTCCCGAGTAGCCGGGACTACAGGTGTGCATCACCACGCCTGGTTAATTTTTTGTATTTTTAGTAGGGACAGGGTTTCACCATATCGGTCAGGCTGGTCTCGAACTCCTGACCTCATGATCCACCCGCCTTGGCCTCCCAAAGTTCTGGGATTACAGGCGTGAGCCACCGCGCCTGGCCTTGGCCTTGTCCCCATTTTTGTAAAAACAAGCAAGCACTTCAAAAATCCATAAATACATGTGTATAAGCCGAGGGAAATGTTCCAAAAGAGAACACTGGGATCACCTCAAGGGTGTGGGGGAAAGCTCTTTATTTTCATTGTCTCCAATGTGTTAACTGACTACAATGAATATCATTATGTAACTGTCAAAGAATTTTATTAAAAAATACAAGCAAACATATTAAAAGTACCCTTATGTTTACGCAAAAACTAAATCAGGGTATATCATCACCCTGTCTGCCCAGGTTTAGGGAAGCAGCCCAGGACTCAAGGCCTTCGTCCACACACTCAGCAACTGCCCAGCCTTCCCTAGAGCAATCCAGCCACCCCAGAGGCGGTACCCCTTCCAACCTGAATGCTGCTTTTCCTTGGAAAACATTCCTGGTGGTTTGTTTAATGTGTAAATGTCTTAAGGGTTTGTTATACGTTAAACGTATTCTATTTCCTCCTAAATCTTAGACCAGGCATTCCTTTTCTTTTTCATTCTCCACAGAGAAAAGCCTAATTCCTTCTCACAAGACACAGTGGGTGTTGCTCACCATTTTAAAGAGAGAAGGTGGCCTATTTTCAGGGTGTAATGCTTCCATTCCAAGGTAATTCTTTTAGCAAAATTGCACCTTGACAATCACAGGCATTTTCCTTCCACCTTACCTGGAGGACCAGCGCTGCCCCTCAACACCCCTCCCCTTCTGACACAAACTTCCAGGTTTAAGGTTAAAGAGTTGGTGGATTAACACATATGTCCTGAATATGCGTTAACACCCATAACAAAAACTCCAGGCCTATATCAGGTCCATAAAAACTTTCCAGTCATTCATTGTTTTTATACAGAGTCCAGCACAAAGCATGTGAGCCACTAATGAACGTTCTTCCACGTGTCAGCACAGGCTGAAGCTAGACATTTTGGTGTTCAGGGTAAACAGTCACCAAGAACCCTCAGGCCCACACAGGTAAGTGGAGCAGGGAGTGAGGGGAGTCTGTAGTCCATCGTCTCCTCCCCTGACAAAGAGTTTGGTCCCACAGAGCAGGCCCTGCCACCAAGGCCTGAGAGGGATGAAGGGGGAAGGGTTTTGTAGGATGCAGGGCAATGACGAGCCTTTGCAAGCTTTTGTTTTACTTTTTATTATTATTATTATTATTATTTTGAAATGGAGTATCGCTCTGTCACCCAGGCTGGAGTGCAGTGGCGCATTCTCAGCTAACTGCAACCTCTGCCTCCCAGGTTCAAGCAATTCTCCTGCCTCAGCCTCCCAAGCAGCTGGGATTACAGACGTGCGCCACCACGCCTGGCTAATTTTTGTATTTAGTAGAGACAGGGTTTCACTATGTTGGTCAAGCTGGTCTCGAACTCCTGACCTCAGGTGATCCACCTGCCTTGACCTCCCAAAGTGCTGGGATTACAGGCGTGAGCAACCACGCCCGACCTGCAAGCTTTTAAAATCATTACTTTAAGTGTTAATATCTCCTCAGTTTTGATGCTCTAGGGAAGGGATTGACAAACTGGCTCACTGGCCAAATCCTTTTTGCTGATTATTTTGGTAAATAAAGTTTTATTGGGACACAACTATACCCGTTTTTTGTAAGCCATTTATCTGTGGCTGCATTCACACTACAGTGGCAGGGTTGAGTAGTTGTGACAGAGCCATATGACCCTCAAAACCCAAAATATTTATGATCTGGCCCTTTATAGAAGTTTGCTGACCCCTGCTTGGGGGTAAAATCAGGGAATCTGTTTTGACAATCATTAGAAATAAATGAATGCACACATGCCCTGGAATGAGGGCTGAGGGAGTTAATAAGAACAAGGAATAGGGAGCCTCAAAACCCCAACCGCACCCTAGAGGAAGGAGGAGCTCAAATCAATAACCCAACCTGTCACCTTAAGAAACTAGGGAAAGATGAGCAAAGTGAACCCAAGCAAGCAGAAGAAGGAATCAATAAAGGTCAGAGCAGAAATGAATTAGGGATCAGAAAAACAATAGAGAAAATCACCAAAACCAATAATTAGTTCTTTGTAAACACACCTTTATCTAAGCTGATCAAGAAAAAAGAAAGAGAAGACATTATTTAAATTAGGAATGAAAGGGGAGACATTACCACCAAACTTACACAAATAAAAAGGACTATAAGAAAATCTATAGACAATTAATATGCCGATGCATTAGATAACCTACGTGAAGTGGACAAATTCATGGCCGAGCACAGTGGCTTACGCCTGTAATCCCAGCACTTTGGGAGGCCGAGGCGGGCGGATCACCTCAGGTCGGGAGTTCAAAACTAGCCTGACCAACATGGAGAAACCCCATCTCTACTAAAAATACAAAGTTAGCCGGGTGTGGTGGCGCATGCCTGTAACCCCAGCTACTCGGGAGGCTGAGGCAGGAGAATTGCTTGAACCCAGGAGGTGGAGATTGTGGTGAGCCGAGATCACGCCATTGCACACCAGCCTGGGAAACAAGAGCAAAACGGCGTCTCAAAAACAAAAAACAAAAAACAAAACAAAATTCCCAGATTAAAAAAAAAAAAAGAAATGGACAAATTCCTAGGAAGATATAAACTATCAAAACTAAATCAAGAAGAAGTAGAAAATCAGAATATGCCTATATAAGTAAAGAGATTCCATTAGTAACCAAAAAACTTTCTATCAAAAAAAACCCAGGACCAGATGGCTTCATGGCAAAATTCTACCATATGTTTAAAGAATTAACACCAACCCTTCACAAACTCCTCCAAAAAATAGAGAAGGAGGGAACACCTTCCAACTCAGTCTACGAGGCCAGAATTAGCCTGACACCAAAACCAGACAAAGAATCACAAGGAAACTACAGACCAATATCCCTCATGAATATATACACAAAAATCCTCCACAAAATGTTAACAAACCAAATTCAGCAATTTATAAAAAGGATTACACACTAACCACACCCTGATCAGGGACTCCTGGCCCGCGCCAGCGACAAACAAAGCACAGGCACTCCAGAGACAGTGACCAGGGGGACTCTAATGTTTGGGACCAGGGCCCAAGTGGAAAGGCAGGAAAATAGCTGGGATGCTGGTGCAGTGGCGTCTCAGGCCGTGGCTGCCAGCACTTAGAAAACATCTTATCTGTGAACATCTTTTTTCCAAATCAGCCCATGTAAGTGGGACTCTCAGCAGCACAGATGCCTGTCTTTGTCCAGGGGTGTTCACACCAGTGCCCATCCATGGCATCTGCCTCTAGAGGCTCACTTGGTGTCTGTACCGAGAGGGGGAAAGCAGGATTTTGCCTACCTTGCAGCCTGGTTGGCTATAAAATAGCAGAGAAGTAAAAAAAAAAAAAAAATTTATATACCAAGTCCCCAGGGTAATAAAGTAAACTGACCATTTATTACTCCCCTCTCCAACTACTATACTTAAATAACTTTCTGCAGTCAAGGCAAGTGCTTTTTAAGAGTGCAGAGGCCATCTGTTTGCCTTTCCTGCACTGTCTTAGACACACACAGGCACCCCCACCGCCCACACATGCACACACGCAGCTCTGTGCTGTTCGAGAATCAGATATATTTATGCTGAAACACCCTGCTCCTGCTGCCTAAAAATAAAAGAAACAAAACCGATGCTTTCTCTGGGGAGATTCTTGCACACTCTAACTTAGACAAATTCTTCTCTTTAAACTGTTTTTTCAACCACCCACCACCATTTGCACTCTCATAAAAGCCTTTTTCAATCCAAGAAATGCTGACAAAGAACTGCTTCTTAATGTCTGTACTTTGTTCCCTCAGCATTAAGTCACCATGCCTGTGTTTTAGCTAAAAAAGCCTTAGGATTTCCCCCTACTCGCTCGTTTTCGGAGTGCCTCCGTCCATTCTGATGAAGCACACTCCTCATTAACATTCTCCCTCTCAGACAGGGCGTCCACACAAGAGGCTGTCAGCCTCCCTGTGAAGGCCACCCGAGCTATCAAATGCTCCCGGGAGCTCCTGCTCATTTGAGAAGTGCCTGCTTCTAGGAAAGCCCTTTGGCACAGGCAAAATACCCATCTTCAGTAAAAAAGCGTCCCAGGGCCCAGGCCACCTGGCTGCCACCTGGCTGCCACCTGGGCTTCAGCCACTGTCATGCAATCTGGTCCCCAGATTGAACAGCAAGAATGTGCTGGCCAGGCCCTGCCCTGCTGGTCACATCAGGCATCCAGGAGGCGGGAGTGGCAGAGGGAAAGGAGTGCTGGACTAAGAGGTCAGGCCCTGGATAGTGACTTGACTCTCTGCTGAATTCCCTTCAGAGCCCCAACCTGCTCGTCTGTCACATGCGGCAATTGTCCCCACCCTCGCTTCTCCCCAGGTCAAGTGAGGAAATGGACAAGAAGAAAGTGGCAGAGGGCCAGGCAGGGGAAGCATCCCGGGCGCAGGCCTCACCTGTCCAAACACATAGAGCAGCCCGATGGTGCCTCCCGTCTGCCCACCCAGGACCGAGGAGATCATGGAGTAGACGCCACCGCTGCCGATGCTGCTGCGCTCCCCGACGCCAATGCCAGACAGCACCGTGACGAGGGCCACCAGGATGACGAAGGACACCAGGAACATGCCCAGGAGCACTCCTGTGTTTCCCTGCAGCAGAATAGCAAGGAGCAAGGTTGGATTAGGTGAGGAGGCCCCGCCAGCTCCCTGCTGGGGGCATTGACCACCTCCCCTCCTCCCACAGCACTGGAATAGGGGCCAGGGGTGGGGGCACAGAGTCAGGACAACTAAAAAGGACAAAGCAAGCACCACAACAGCCAAGGCCAGGAAGAAGTTCTAAGTGAAAGGAAGCGTCCTGGCTGCAAATTCTTCAATGACTCTCCCACCTATAGGGTACAGTCAGAGCTGCTGATGCCCTCACGAGGTGCCTCCTAATCTCACTTTGTGCCTGACGTGCAGCGACAAGTTCTCTCCCCACCCCCACCCCTCCTCATGCTGATTCCCCTGCCTGGAAGGCCTCTCCTGCTCATTCTGTACCTTTGTCAGGTTAACTCCAGCATATCCTTTAGGCCTCAACGTTTAGGATTTCTCACCAGGAAGCTGGCCCTGTAACCCTTTCTCTGGGCTCCTCCAGTGCCAGGGCTTAGTACTTTTCACAGGACTTGTCATATTGAGTCTGTTTCCAAGCCAGTTTTGACCTCTAGGCTGTGAGCTCCAGGGGAGGATGATATGGTTTAGATGTTTGGATTTGGATCCCTTCCAAATCTCATGTCGAAATGTGATCCCCAATGTTGGAGGTGGGGCCTGGTGGGAGGTGTTTGGGTCATGGGGGTGGACCCCTCGTGAATGGCTTGGTGTCCTCCCACAGTAATGGGTGAGTTCTCACTCTGTTCGTTCACAGGAGAGCTGGTTGTTTAAAAGAGCCTGGCATCTCTCTTGCCTTCTCTCCGGCTACGTGGCACGCTGCTCCCTCTTCACCTTCCCCCATGAGTGAAAGCTTGCTGAGGCCTCACCAAGTGCAGATGCTGGTGCCATGCTTCTTGTACAGCCTGCAGAACTGTGAGCTAAATAAACCTCTTTTCTTCATAAATTAGCCTCAGGTATTCCTTTATAGCAATGTAACATGGACTAATACGGAGCAGGATCATGTTTTCTTCCCCTTCATATTCTCAGTGCTTAGCATAACCTCCACAAAATAGGTGTTCATTAAATGCTTGTTGAGCGAATAAACAAACCATGCATGGCTGGAGATGAACACATGTAGACAGACACATTTCAGTGTGAAAAGCAAGAGTCGCAGAGAGGCAGTGGACACAGCACTTCTAAGAAGGAGATGTAATGTCACATGTTTTGCAATAGAAAGCAAGGAAGACTCCTGATAGTCAAGACTTCATGTGTTGTGAGTGCTGGAGAGGGTCCTAGGAGTGGGCAGAGCCAGTTCAAGAGCTGAGTGGCCTAACATGAGCTGGAAAATTGTCCTGGAAGTCAGTTGTACTCTGTTCCAGTGTTTATAATATAATGCTCAAGGGCTCCACTGCTGGTCTGAGACCCACCCTGGCTGTGGCTAAGGCCGAAACCTGAGCTGAGGATCTGAGTGTGGTGTAGAATGAGAGCTTAGGAAGGTCTGGTCTTGCCCAGACTTCTTATGGGGGCTAAGAATCCTGTACATCCCACTATAAAGGAGCTTAAATCTCCCCAAATTTGCCTATGTAATGGTTAATTTTATATGTCAACTTGGCTAGACTACGGCAACTAATTGTTTAGTCAAACACTAGTCTAAATGTTGCTGTAAAGGTGATTTTCAGATGTGATTAATATTTACTATCAGTTGACCTTAAGTAAAGGAGATTACCCTCCATAGTATGGGTGGGCCTCGTCTAATCAGTTGAAGGCCTTACAAGCAAAGGCTGGTTTCCCAAAGAGGAAGGAATTCTGCCTCCAGGCTGCAATACAGAAATTCTTCCTGCATTTCCAGCCTTCAGACTCAAGACTGCAGCATCAATCCTTACCTGCTAATATATACATGACATACTTACATCTCCTGTTGGCATTGGCCTGTTTCTCTGGAGAATCCTGACTAGTAGATTCTACACCTTGAATGGCCTCCTCTCTTTCACCCATCTAGTCCAGCTCACCCTTCAAAGCCTGGCTCAACTGCATCTCCTCCAGGAAGGCTTCCTGACACCTCAGTGACTGCAGCACTCATAGCCTGTTCCACCCCAAGGGACTTAATGCTGTTTTCAGAACTCTCCTAATGCAATATCTACCCACCACAGCTGTTAGCTCATAGGGCGGGGCGGGGAAGAGAGGAGGGGATGAGGGCCCAGGCCATGTCTTGTCTTTTGTGATCCCACTGGCACTAAGTAGTGCTTGGCCCACAGCAGGTGCTCATCCATGTTTAGATGGTGACTGGCTTGCCTTTTGTTCTGCGCACCTGTGTGGTCTACTGAAGTCCCACTGCATGAGATGGCACTGTGTGTGGGACTGAGAACCCCTGCCCCAGGCACACATCTGCTTGGAAGGTCCTAGGATGCTTTGCATAAGAATTAAAGAAGAGGCCTTTTGTTCCTTCTACAGGGGGAGATGAACTGACCCCCAGGATCTCACACAGCAGAGTCCATCCTAGGCAATCCATCCCTAGAGGTAGGCGGCCCACACCTCTGACCAAGCATCCCCATGCACAGTCTTACCTACAGGGTTGCAGTGTGGTGGGGGAAGGCAACCATGTGGGCGGGCCCAAGATGAAGTGAAGAATACCGGGAAAACTACAGAGGGCCACAAGCTGGAGGCAAAATTGCCATCAATCTGATCTCTCTGACCCATCTCAAGTCCGGCTCATGATGAGCCCTGACTTCTGTGCTCCTATTCTGCAGTTAAATCTATGGTGTGAGGTTTCCATTAGAAATTCGGAAGCCTATCTTCACAGGATGCTCATTTAACAAGCAATGCTAGCTATTCATCGTGCTTGCTTCTGTTTCGTGTTTCAGGAGCATCTGTGCTTCAGGAATCTGTGGCCTGCACTGTAGAATGCAAGAGTGGCAGAGCTTTCCTGTCTTGGGCCCGTGAGAGGCTCCAGGCCACCAACTCAGCACTCACCACCAGCCAGCCAGTCCTCAGGAAGAGCACAACCCCAAAGATGTTGATCATGCAGGATGTGAACACACCATCCCAGGTCCCAAACAGCACAGGCTCCCACATGAACAGCTGGGTCTTCCACCAGGGCTGGGGCTGGGCCAGGGCATCCTGCAAACAGAACACACAGAAATCAGCTGAGGGGCCATTGGGAGGGCCAGGGATGGCATGAGAGTGGAACAGGAGGAGGGAGGTAGGAGAACTCAGCTTAAAAACAGTCCTGTCTTATTGTGCCAGGGCAAGTGTGTGTGTATACACACATGCATGCACATACACACACATGCGCACACACACATCTTGAAGCATACCTCTACAAAAGGATCACTGTTCTCTTGTAACAACAGTGATTCCGTATCCATATGTAGCAGAGACTCATTATTCACAAACGTAGTCCTTTTCCTCTGGTCATCACTCAAGTAGTCAGGGAGTCAGGTAGACTCCCAGCCTCTTTGCAGCTAGAAGTGGCTGTGTGACTGAGTTCTAGCCCATGGAATGCAGGCAGAAGCAATAGATGACACTTCTAAGTGAGTGTGAGATTCTGGGTTTCACCTCCTGGGGCTCATGGTCATGAGCCCTCTTCATCCTCCAGTCCTAGCAGGGACAGCAGCTTCCGGCAGTTGACATTTGGCCAACCTTACTGAAGCGCTCTTTGCTCCTTCAGCCCTTCTAACACCTCTGCAATCAGCCCTGTGGATGAGATTCCCTGTTTAAAATGACTGAAGTTATTTCTGTTTTCCTTACTGAGCACTAATACAGTGATCTCTGCTGATACCCCAGGATTCTTCAGCATTACTGGACAATTGTTTGGAATCAGAGGCGAATAATGAAAAAACAGATTCCTTGCTCATTTTTCCAATTCACAAATAACAAAGGCACTTATAAACACTCAAATGGAAACCCTTTACTAAAAAAACCATAACTTCGTGGATATACTAAAATGATCTTAAACAAAACCAGTAGTAACTCACACTGTGAATGCTCTTATGTAGGTTTGGCAATTAATCTAAACTCAGGCATGAACAGAGTCTTCCAGTGACCACAAACGACTACAGCAGTGATTACGGTTCTCAGCTGGGTGGGGTGGGTGGGGAGAGAGAGGCATCCAAAGCTAGGAGTCACTGTGTGCAATGAATCTGGACCTGGTGAGCAAATGTTATCCATAAACACAATAAAAAGGCAGAAAAATCAAGAGTTTAGGGAAAAATCCAAGATCCAGAGTCCACGGGGCATGGCTCCTGAATGGCTGAGAACAATGGGTGCGCCCAGGATCTAGAACCAAAGGCTAAGGCCAACGGCATGTGCTCAAAACCAAAAGGGAGGATCCCAGCTCCTCTTCCACCTCCTGTATCAGACATCCACAGATCAAGAAGGGGCCTCGAGAAATACTCAGGGATCTCAATTCAGCCACATGGGACTGATGGGCCAGGGGACCCCTTGTGTCTCCGTCAGTCTCCAACTCCGTAAGCTTCATTTATGCATGTACATGACTGCTTGCCTGTCCTTCACAAACCACAAATGAGCAATCTCCTGAAAGTCAATAATTGTCAGAACAGTCCTCGTGGTTCGGAACAAAGACTCTGCCAATCTAGGCTTGTCCTTGAGCAAATGGTACCAAAGGACCTGTCTGGGGAATGCAGGAGTGTTTCCCAGGATCCTCATCTCGAAATTCAGGATGGGTCCCAACTTCCTGTCTCTGCTTGTGTTCCACTTCCTATCGTGGCTTGCTACAGGCCGACTGTTCCTCAGTAATAACAGTGACTCTCAGCAACAAAAAGACTAATACTGTAGAGAGTGCCATCAGCTTCCACAGGAGCTCTCTGCTCTGCTCCTCACGGCAGCCCCGTGAGGCAGGCCGGGAGGGGGCCCCACTGAGGGCTGAGGAGATGGAGGCTGAGAGAAGAAACCTGACGGCCCAGTCTCACAGCCAGGGCTTCCCCCAGCACTTGTAAGATCTGTGCTTTTCCCTGCCCCACACTCACCTAAACATTACTTGCCCTTTTTGCCCCTAAATTTAAGTCTTTCAGGTTTCAAATTCTAACACTCTGGACTTTGCATAACTGCGAATACATCTGCCTTACCCATGAATGCCTTTGTGATGACAGAAACCTTATTCCTCTTTCACGCGTGCCTTCATTTTCCCATTCTGAAGGCTGGTTTGCATATGCGTTTGTTTACCTGCTGGTGTGTGAAATGCCTTTCATTTCCTTGATCTCACTGGACTAGTCAATCAGCCTCAAGGGTAGAAACTTAGAGCAGGTAGAAACTTCAGGAAACCCTTTACCCTGAGAATGAAAATATAACTGGTTTAAAATGGGTTTGGTGACTGAGCCCTGGCAGCTTGTTTCAGGATATTGAGGGGTGTGTACCTACCTTTTCTCACCACATGACAAAAAACTATAACTCAGTCTTCCCACAGTCTGCTCATCGGAGACTGGGTGGGAAGAGCGTAGGTTTGACTCCAAGGGAGTAACCCTGATGTTCTTGGAGAAAGAGAGAGACACTACATAAGCCCAGCAAGAGACAGAGAAAGAAGGAAAAGGACGAAACCAAAACAGAGAGAAAGGGGAAGAGGATGAGATGGAAAGCCCCAGAATAAAATGCCAAATAAAGCCCCCGAGGGATATTTCCCAGATGCCACGCTGCCTCCCAGGCATCCATGTAGAAATAGCAGCTTGGGGCTGGGCGCAGTGGCTCATGCCTGTAATCCCAGCACTTTTGGAGGCTGAGGTGGGTGGATCACTTGAGGTCAGGGGTTTGAGACCAGCCTCGTTAACATGGCGAAACCCTGTCTCTGCTAAAAAATACAAAAATTAGCCGGGTGTGGTTGTGTGTGCCTGTAGTCCCAGCTACTCGGGAGGCTGAGGCATGAGAATCACTTGAACCTGGGAGGCTGAGGTTGCAGTGAGCCGAGATTGCACCACTGCACTCCAGGCTGGGTGATAGAGTGAGACCCTGTCTCAAAAAAAAAGAAGTAGCAGCTTGTGTGTCCCCGCTCTTCTCACAGATCCCTTGTCCAGGCTCGCCACATTTGTGATGCCATTCAGACTTTAGCTAGTGCCCAGAGCTCGCCTCTTGGGAGAGGACTGGCTGGAGAACTCAAAGCAGCTCCCTTGCGTCGTGAGAGCTCTTGCTCTGTCCTGCGTGCTCTCCCGTTCTCTTCAGCTCCTGCTCTGACAGGCTGAGGGGCAGGACCACGGTCTGCAGTACGGGCAGACATGTAACATGAGGACAGAATGTCAGCTCCCGTCCACATACACACAAAGTACTGGATTCTCCTGAGTCTGCATCCCCAATTCCTTCCCCTGAGGCAGAAGGAAGGAACCCCTCAACCCAAATAGGCCCTCCCACAAAGTCCACGCTAAGATTCTCTGAGTGCCACCACCCAGTCATTTCTGTTGCCCAGGGGAGGAGGGGGTGGAAGCGCTGGGGTGATGGTTGCTGAAGCTTAGGCCAGTTCCAGGCTCTCTTGTTAAACACCAGGAGAGAGGTCTGGTCCCAACCATGGGTAGCTCTCTTTAGGACCTAGTGTCCCAGATTTGGGCCCCAGTCCTCAATTCCAGCATAACATGAATCCCATTCAACATCCTATTACATAGACATAATGGGCTGGGGAAAAGGAATGTACCCTACACCCAGGATTGAGTCTACAGCAAAGTAGAGATAGAGGATGAGGGGGATAAGAAAAGCAAGGGGCAAATCAATCCCTCAGAAAGGGCAGCATAAAACATGCCTGAGGGCAAGAGTCCTCTCCTCCCTGAAGACCCTCAGCCTGGCAGGGGCCAGCTTGACAGGTTCCAGGGGTGCGGCGACTTGGCGCCTGGCCCAGGATGATCCCTCTGCCATGCTCCTCATTGCTAGGGTCTTCCTTCCCAAGCCCCCAGGACAAGAAGCCAGACTCCTGTCCCTCTGAGCCCAGGGGCCTGCGCCCCATGCTGGAAAAACCATGACTGCCTGGTGGGTGTTTTTAGTTCAGAAGGGGAAGTCGTTCTCCTGTGAATAATCTCCATACTTGAGCGAGGTGGGGGGCAGATTGGTGGGGGTAGGGGGTTGTCTAGAAAGGTGGGGAAGTTGCACCTGAGTAGGAAATACTCTCAATCCTGCATCCAGCAAGCAGAGCTGAGTAAGAGGCTGGAAAGTTCTGCCAGAGGCAATGACATGAGCTCAGCCCCAGAAGCCTTTTGCCTCAAACAGTCACCAGCTAAGTCTTCATGAATGCATCTGCAATGTCAGATGACACCTTTTCTCCTTTCTGGGAGCTGGAGGAAAAGCAATCAGGTGAGAAATTCTGCTTCTGTCCATTCAGGTCAGGGGTGTAGGTGGAAGCAAGACCCAGCCTGCCCCTTTCTCCCAAAGTGCACCTGCAGAGACTGGTTCCACCTGGATTACATACACATGCGAACCAGCAGATGGCTTTCTGAAAGTTAATATTGGATTATTAATTAAACATCAGAGAATATACCCAAGCTGCTGCTGAACTGCAGTCCAATGGGCAGACTGAGGAGCCTCATTCCTTTCCCCTGCCTCTGAACCGGCCCCATGTGCTGGACCACAGGGGTTGAGAGCTGGGCCGGGCGCCAGCATGGCTGTGGGTTCCATGGGCCACAGTCCACATGTGCAGCTACATGCCTGCCTCAGGGGGGTTTTGTAAAGTTTAGATGAGATGATAGTTGTGAAAGTTTGTGTAAACACAAAACACAACAGAGGATTTTAAATATACATGAGGATTTCTTCAGGGAAGTTGGAAGGAAGACAAAGAAGTCTTTTGACTGCATTTGCTGCTTTCCCCAGCTAACTTGTCTTCATGTTTAAAGTGGAATCCTTGCTCTACAGCTCAGCCCTGAAAGCTGCATCTCTAACCCCTGCCCAGCCCAGGCATTCTGAGTAAGAGAGAGCCCATCCCTTCTGTTTTGTAGTGGGAGTTCCAGAATGGACCTCCATTGAGTGCTGCCCCATGTGACTGATGCTGGAAATGGAAATGGCTCTGTAGCCAAGGAAGCAAGGATCCAATTGGAGCCGTCAAAGTCTGATTTCCCTGGGTTAGGATCTGGGCAGCACCCTTGGTCTGTATAGATTTAGTCATTCCTAGAAATGTGAGGTCTTCGTGGCTGTGTCAGTCTCTTCTACCACAGAGCTGGTATGAAAGCTGGGGTTGAAATCTAGTCATTCCCACAGACTCAATCTGTTGTTTTTTTTTTTTCTCCATATCTGTGCATCTTCACACTTGTTCAAGGCTGGGATTCTCACAAGGGCATGACCTGGTCACACATGGCTCAGCCCGCAGAGTGGCAAGACCATCAGAGGCTGTGAAAACTTTGATGCCGAAGTTCTGCCTCCCAGGACCACACAGCAGCCTCAAAACTCAGAGCCCAGAGATGAGCTCTGGAAATCTGATGTCGTCTGGCAAATGACAAAACCCCACAGCAGCCATGTCAAGGCCACCTAAACAAGGGCTTCCTCTGCCCTTCCCAACCTCCTTAGCAAAAGGGCAGAGCTTTTCCTGCTGGACACAGGCTGCCGCTAGGAAGTCTACCTGGATTTAACACAAGGAGGAGCAAAATAGACCCTAATGCCCTCCCCCTAATAACAGGCGAACCAGTGAAACATCAGCTGCAAAAAGGTTATCATTCCAGGTGCTTCAGTGGATCAGCCACTATTCTATCCATTTAAGAATTCTTATGTAGTGAGTAGACCCATTCATATAGTTAAAATTTTTGGAATCATGTTAATATTTTACATATACTCAAAATCAAATACAATTAAATCAACAAAGATGAAAGTTAAAAATCTAAATAGAATGCAAAGAGAAACAAATTATCCTAGCTGTATTTCAAATGAATGACGTAACCATACTTAAAGCGGAAAAAGAACTAACCAGAGTAACTTATGAACACAGTACTTTGACTATGTATCACATTCGAAAACAAAAATAACTGCAATTAATATTAAATGCCAGATAGAAAATTTGGGTATTTGTAGGAGTATGAATTACCAATTCTAAATCTGCTTTCTGTGAATTATAAGCAAATAACAAAATATATTGAATAAGAGTCAAGTTTCTCACAGTTGGAGAAGGAATTCCAACTAAGGAAATAAGAGAAGAATAACCCCCATACTGAGGAATTGGAGTTAGACGTATTAGTATGAATTTATGGTTTTTAATATATAGAGACCTAGATAGATCACTGTACATATTTATATTTACATTCTTTCCCTCTGCCCACTTAAAGTGTCTATAAGGCCAGGCACAGTGGCTCACACCTGTAATCCCAGCACTTTGGGAGACAGAAGCTGGATAATTGCTTGAGGCCAGGTGTTTAAGACCAGCCTGAGCAACATAATGAGACCACACCTCTACAAAAAATAGAAAAAGTAGCCAGGTGTGGTGGTGCATGCCTGTAGTCCTAGCTACATAGGAGGCTGAGGCAAGAGGATTGCTTGAGCCTAGGAATTCAAGGTCACAGTGAGCTACGATCATGCTGCTGCATTCCAGCCTGGGCTACAAAGGAGACCTTGTCTCAAACAAACAAAAAAAGTGACTATAAGCCAAGACATCCCAGTGGCAATGAACATACCTAGCACCCAGATCTTGATTTCTAAATATCATTCTTCACTTTAAGGAACCAGGGCTCCTTGCAGAAGTTGCTAATTCAAGGCTAGGGCAGAGAACGTACAAAATGAGTCTGGAATATCTTGTACCAGAAAGTAGGGAAGTGCTAAAAAGAAAAAAATGACAAGGATGTGTCAAAAGGACACAAGAGCCACTTGAAGGGGCTCCCACTAGCCAAATCTGGCACAATTTGGCCCTGAAAGTAAATAATAGCAATAGAATATTCAAGGAATAGAATAAGAATCTGAGTCCATACAGACATAAATAAATTAATTAACCGATTTTTTTCTTTGAGACAGGGTCTTGCTCTGTCACCCAGGCTGGAGTACAGTGGCATGATCACGGCTCACTGCAGCCTCAACTTTCCAGGCTGAAGCAATCCTCCTGCCTAAGCTTCCTGAGTATCTGGGATTACAGGTATGCATCACCATGCCCAGCTAATTTTTGTATGTTTTGTAGAGACAGAGTTTTGCGCTGTTGCCCAGGCTGGTCTCAAACTCCTGGGCTCAAGTGATCCTCCTGTCTCAGCCCTGCAGAGTGCTGGGATTACAGGTGTGAGCCACCCCACCTGGCCATGACTAATCATAATATATCTATTTCTGCTCATTGTCACTGAGTGGACCTGGAGGCTGAGGGCTGGAAGAGCAACTGGAATTGCTGTAGTGCCAAATATATCCCCTTTTATACTGATGTGGCTCTGTCAAGGGTATCACTCCTGTGTGGGAGCAAGAAGAGAAAGCCCTTCCTTACAGTGGAAAACCAAATGATCCATGTGGAAGGAATTATGGGGTTAGAAAATCACCATTTTGCAGCCATCACAGCAATAGCCAGCTCTGCCAAGAATCATCAATGGATGCTAATGCTAGTGAGTGAGGGATTAATGAGGAAGAGGGTATTTCTATAGTCTCAAAGCATCTACAAATTACTTATTAACAAAAAAGAGAAATTAGTAACTTTAGAGGGGATTAACCTAGTGGACACCACCTTAAATAAATAGCCAAAGTTAACATCACCAATAATGGGACAAATGGAAATTATGTAGCTCCTACTATGATGTCCTGGGAAAAGTACTGCATCACTGCTATGGTGTTCCTGCCAAAAATAGAAAACCTAAATCTACCTGTGACAGGTCATGCCCCAAACTGAGGGACATCATCCCCAATTCTGCCTATAAAATACAAAAAAACAAAAATAAGAAAACCTGAGGACATTCTACAAAATAACCAACATGTGTTCTTTAAAAAAAAAAAAACAAAACAGTCAAGGTCATAAAAGACAAAGAAAGGCCAAGGGACTATTCCAGATTAAAAGAGACTAAAGAGATTGTCACAACTGGCCAGGTGCAGTGGCTCAGGCCTATAATCCCAGCACTTTGGGAGGCTGAGGTGGGTGATCACCTGAGGTCAGGAGTTCGAAACCAGCCTGGCCAATATGGTGAAACCCCACCTCTACTAAAAATACAAAAATTAGCTGGGTGTGGTGGCGGATGCCTGTAATCCCAGCTACTCGGGAGGCTGAGGCAGAAGCATCGCTTGAACCTGGGAGGCAGAGGGTGCAGTGAGCCGAGATCTCACCACTGAACTCCAGCCTGGGGGAGAATAGTGAAACTCTGTCTCAAATAAAATAAAACGAGAGAAATCACAACTAAGGGTCATGTATGATCCTGGATTGGATCCTGGAAGGAGGTCTTGGGGAGAAGCTGGGGGATGTTAGTGGGATAACTGGTAAAATTTTAATGTAGAGCTACAGATTAGACAATAGGATTTTTTTTTTTTTTTGAGATGGAGTCTCGCTCTATCACCCAGGCTGGAGTGCAGTGGCGTGATCTCGGCTCACTGCAAGCTCCACCTCTCGAGTTCATGCCATTCCCCTGCCTCAGCCTCCCCAGTAGCTGAGACTACAGGCACCCGCCACCACGCCCGGCTAATTTTTTTGAATTTTTAGTAGAGATGGGGTTTCACCGTGTTAGCCAGGATGGTCTCGATCTCCTGACCTCGTGATCCACCCTCCTTGGCCTCCCAAAGTGCTGGGATTATAGGCGTGAGCCACCATGCCCGGCTGACAATAGGATTTTTCTATGTTAAATGTCCTGATCCTGAAAAAGATACTGTGGTTAGGTAAAAAAACATTCTTGTTCTTAGGAAATAGACACTGAAATATTTATGGATAAAAGGACATGATGTCTGCAAATTGTTTTTATATGGTTTAGAGAAAATATATACATATATATAGAGAAAATGGTCTAATGATAAAGCAAAAAGGCAAAGTGTTAACAAGTGGTCAATCTGAATCGACTGAGTCAAGAGTATGTGGGGTTTTTTATTGTATTATTACAACTTTTCTGTAAGTGTAAAATTTTGTCAAATAAATAAATAGGTTGCAAAACATTATGAATGTATTTAATACCATTGAACTGTACACATAAAAATAGTTAAGATGGTAGGCCTGGGGCAGTGGCTTATGCCTGTAATTCCAACACTTTAGGAAGCCAAGGCAGGAGGGCCACTTGAAGCCAGGAGTTTGAGACCAGCCTGGGCAACATAATCAAACCCCTTCTCTAGAAGAAGGAAAAAAAAAAAAAGGCCAGGTGTGGTGGCACATGCCTGTAGTCCCAGCTACTTGGAAGGCTGAGGTGGGAGGATCGCTTGAGCCCAGGAGTTCGAGGCTACAATGAACTATGCTCACGCCACTGCACTCCAGCCTGGGTGACAGAGCAAGACCTGGTCTCAAAAAAAAATAAAATAAAATACATTTTTATAACCAACTATAATAAACATGAAAATACAGTTCCAGAAAAAAATGGTATAAACCTTGACAATGTAAAAATAATAAAGCAACTATTAAAAAATGGAAATGAAATGAGAGAAATGGAAGGAAGTGTATGTGTGCCAACGTCCTATTTTTCATATGGGAAACAGGAAGTAAAATGATAACAAATTGGTAACCTAAGAAACTGAGGTATAAGAATATTATTTAAAGTTACAGTGAGAACAATTAGAAGACATGAAAACCAGAAGCCATTAGCAATGACTGCCACTGGGGAATAGAAGTGAAGGAAGAGGGAAGGAAGGCTTTTCATTTCATGTCATGCTGTATTGTGTGAATCCTTCTCACTTCATGCATGTAGTACTTCTATGATAAAAACCCTAGACCAGCCACAGTGGCTCACACCAGTAATCCCAGCACTTTGGGAGGCCCAGGCAGGCGGATCGCTTGAGTCCAGGAGTTTGAGACCAGCCTGGGAACATGGCGAAACCCCGTCTCTACTAAAAATACAAAAAATAAGCTGGGCATGGTGGTGTGCCCTTGTGGTCCTAGCTATTTAGGAGGCTGAGGAGGGAGGATCATCTGAGCCTGGGAGGTTAAGGCTCCAGTGAGCCATGATCGTGCCACTGTACTCCAGCTGGGAACAGAGCGAGACTCTGTCTCAAAGAAAAACAACAACAACAACAAGAACTAACTTATTTTATGTTTAAAGAAAAAATTACCACATTATTAGAAATATTTTAAAAACAGAATGGGTTTTTTGGCTGACCTGGCATTAGGGATACCATTTATGGCTATATGTCATTTTATTCAGTGGATGAATTCACCAAAAGATTCCTGTGATTTCAATCACATTTTAAAATGTATTGAATACATGGAATACTTAAAGATGGTGAATCCTTTTGTAAAATCAATGTCTACCTCAAAATTCTTTGTGTATCTCTAAGTTTTTAAATTTGTTTTTGCTTTGTGTTATTCTTTACTAATAACTACCTAAAATTAAAAAGGAAAGTGACTCAAAAGGAGTCATGGCTTTCGGTTTTAAGTTGAATTCTATGAACACGGAGACTCATGGTAGAGCAGGAACGCAACTATTTTTGGCTTAGTGAGGGTTGCTCAGCCACCATTGCCTCAAGTTAATCAGTAAGCTCCTAAAGCCTGTAACCAGGGACAGTGACCATGGATGTGATTTACCGGATATCTGCAAACTGGGAAAAGAACATGCTAGAATTTTTACACAGGTGAGTGGTTTTTACCACACTACCCTTTTTTCTTTCTTTCTGACTGTTCGTGTGGGGAAGAAGACATTCACACAACAAATCAAAAACAAACAGGCTGGACACGGTGGCTCACATTTGTAATCCCAGTGCTTTCAGAGGCTGAGGCGGGAAGATCACTTGAGGCCAGGCAAGGAGTTCATCACCAGCCTGGGAAACATAGTGAGACCCCATCTCTACAAAAAATTTAAAAATTTGCCAGACATGGTGGCATGTGCTGTGGTCCTAGCTACTTGGGAGGCTGAGGTGGGAGGATCCCTTGAGTCCCAGGAGTTTAAGGCTGCAGTGAGCTATGATCACATCACTGCACTCCAACCTGGGCAACAGAGTGAGACCCTGTCTCTAAAAACAAAAAACAAAAGGAATGTAAATAGGACCTTTCTCCCAAGCAGTGGTAAATGTTAAAGCATTATTGTATTAGAAATGCATCAAAGCCGGGTGAGGTGGCTGATACCTGTAATCCCAGTACTTTGGGAGGCCCATGGGAGGATTGCTTGAGCCCAAGAGTTCAAGACCAGCCTGGGCAAAATGGCAAAACCCTGCCTCTACAAAATATTTTTAAAATAACCAGGCATGGTGGCATGCACCTGTGGTCCCAGCTACTCAGGCCCAGGAGGTTGAGGCTGCAGTAAGCCATGATTGAAAAAAAAAAAAAAAAAAAAGAAGCATCAAAGCTTAAATAGGTACTACCTCTAAAGACTTTTCACGTCAAGCGCACCCACCCTTTGATTAAGGTGTTAAAATTCAGAAAGAAAAAATTTAGGAATTAGATTAAATTATACTTGATAATTATTGAAGAGCAAAAAGAGATACTGAATTGAATTATACTGAAGTATGTGTATTTCTTTTTAATTTAATTTTTTTTGAGATGGAGTCTCACTCTGTCACCCAGGCTGGAGTGCAGGGGTTTGATCTCAGCTCACTGCAACCTCCGCCTCCTGGGTTCAAGTGATTCTCCCACCTCAGCCTCCTGAGTAGCTGGGATTACAGGCACCTGCCTCCACACCCAGCTAAACTTTTTTGTATTTTTGTAGAGACGGTGTTTCACCATGGTGGCCAGGCTAGTCTCGAACTCCTGACTTGAGGTGATCTGCTCACCTCGGCCTCCCAAAGTGCTGGGATTACTGGCATGAGCCACCTCGCCCAGCCGTATGTGTATTTCTCTTAATCCTACTACAATTAATTGATAATGTTCTAGGAATATAGAACTATCTAATGTTTTAACTGTTATTCTGAAGAGATGTGTTTTGGCCAGAGAAAGTATAAAATGAATGAAAAGGTAAGCTAAAACTCAGTTACTCTCCCCTACAGGAAGCCAGGGTGTTCAATCAGGCCAGGCGGCCAGAGTAAAAGCACCACCTAATGGCACCTTATTCAAATTACAAGAATAGTACTTCAGAGGCATTACCATAGCATCTAGGCTTTCCTTGCAAACCCCAGACGATTAAATGATGGCAAATGCAGTATTTTGTCTATATCTGACCATGGATGAAATTTACCTTAAGGCAGTAAGAAGGTTTGAAGTTACCTAGTCCCTCTATTCATAGCTAGGCGGAATGTATTAACCATGTTTTTTTTTTTTTTTTTTTTAAATCTGTATCTAATGATGTTATGACAACTTAAAAATCTTGCTGACCAAGGACATGAAAAACCTCTACAATGAGAACTACGAAACACTGATGAAATAAATTAAAGAGGACACAAACAAATGGAAAGACATCCCATGCTTAGAATTATTAATGAGAAGCCGGGCACGGTGGCTCAGGCCTGTAATCCCAGTACTTTGGGAGGCCAAGGCGGGCGGATCACCTGAGGTCAGGAGTTTGAGACCAGCCTGCCCAACATGGTGAAACCCCGTCTCTACTAAAAACACAAAAATTAGCCAAGCGTGGTGGCAGGCACCTATAATCCCAGCTACTTGGGAGGCTGAGGCAGGAGAATCGCTTGAACCCAGGAGGTGAAGGTTGCAGTGAGCTGAGATCGCATCATTGCACTCTAGCCTGGGGGACAAGAGCGAGACTTCATCTCAAAAAAAAAAAAAAAAAAAAAGAATTATTAGTGAGAAGAATTACTATTGTTAAAATGGCCATACTATGCAAAGCAATCTACAGAGTCAATACAATCCCTATTGAAATACCAATGACATTGTTCACATAAATAGAAAAAAAAAACCCTAAAATTTGTATGAAACAACAACAAAAAATAAGCCAGAATAGCCAAAGCAATCCTGAGCAAAAAGAACAAAGCTGAAAGCATCACACTACCCAACTTCAAAATATACTACAAAGCCATGGTAGCCAAAACAGCATGATATTGGTATAGAAACAGACACATAAACCAAAGGAACAGAATAGAGAATCTGGAAATAAATCCACATATTTACAGCCAACTGATTTTCAACAAAGGTGCCAAGGACATATATTGGGGAAAGGACACCCTCTTCAATAAATGGTACTAGGAAAACTGTATATCCACATGCAGAAGAATGAAACTAGACCCCCATCTCTCAACCTATACAAAAAGCAACACAAAATGGATTAAAGACATAAATGTAACACCCAAACTATAAACCTGCTAGAAGAAAACATAGGGGGCATGCTTTGGGACATTGGTTTGGGAAAAGGTTTTATGGCTAAGATTTCAAAAGCACAGGCAACAGAAACAAAAATAGACAAATGGGGTCATATTGATCTAAAAAGTTTCTGCACTGCAAAGGAAACAGTAGAGTGAAAAGACAACCTGTAGAATGGGATAAAATATTTGCAAGATATTCATGCAACAAGGGACTAATATCCAGAACATACAAGGAACTCAAACAACTCAACAGCATAAAATGACTAATCCCATTAAAAAGTGGGCAAAACATCTAAATAGACATTCCTCAAAAGAAGACACACAGATGGCCAACAGGCACATGAAAAAATGCTCAACAGCACTAATTATCAGGGAAATGCAAATCAAAACCACAATGAGATACCACCTCACACCTGTTAGAATGACTATTATCCAAAAAATGTAAAATAACAAGTGTTTGTGGGGCTTTGGAGAAAAGGGAACCCTTGTGCACTGTTGGTGAAAATGTGAATTATTACAGGCATTATAGAAAACAATATGGAAGCTCATTAAAAATTAAAAATAGAACTACCATATGATCCAGCAATCCCACTGTGGGTACTTATCCAAAGGAAAGGAAATGAGTATATCAAAGGGATGCCTGCACACCCATGTTTATTGCAGCCCTATTCGCAATAGCAAAAGGAGTCAACCTAAGTGTCCATCAACAGATGAATGAATAAAGAAAATGTGGTAAATGTATACAATGGAAAACTATTTAGCCATAAAAATGAATGAAATCCTGTCATGTGCAGCAACGTGGATGGAACTGGAGGTCATTAGGTTAAGTGAAATTAACCAGGAACAGAAAGACAGATATCACATGTTCTTATCCATATGTGGGAGCTAAAACAGTTGACTTCATTGAGCTAAATAGTAGAATGATGGTTATCAGAGGGTGGGAAGGGGATTGGGGGGATGAAGAGAGGTTGGTTAATGGGTATAACTGCATAGTTAGATAAAAAGAGTAAGTTCTAGTGTTCTATAGCAAAGAAGGGTAACTATAGTCAACAATAACTTATTGTATATTTCAAAATAGCTAGAGGAGAAGATTTGAAATGCTCCTAAGACAAAGAAATGATAAATATTTGAGGTGATGGATACCCCAATTACCCTGATTTGATCATTACACATTGTATATATGTACCAAAATATCATATGTACCCCCATAAATACGTATAATTATTATATATCAACTTAAAAATGTTTTAAAATCTTGCTGGCCTAGGAAAGACTGACCCTCTCAGACCTAGTCAATTCTCAGAGAGAGCAAAAGGCTTAGCCATGAACACAGCTTTCTTAAGCAAAACAACCAATGCTGAGTCTATACCACCAAAGACCACCTCCTCATCTAACTCACACACCAAGCCAAGATTTCTCCTGACCCCAATCATCCCAGAGCCAGACACCCGGCAACCAGAGGCCACCCCTATAACCCAGAGCCCACTAGAATTGTTCAAACTGCCAGTCCTAAGCTGTCCACCGTGCCCTGCCTTTCCTCTCCTGCAGAAACCCCAATAAACCCTCACTCCTGTCTTCAGCCCCCTGAGCATCCCTGGTGCTTCCCTGTGACCCTGCGTGGCATAGTGTATTCTCTCTTCTCAAGCAAGGTAAGTAACAGAAATCTTTCAGTGGCATCGACCTCTGCATGTTCTCACCTCTGTAAGTTAAAATACGGCGGGTACAAATGAGTCACAGAACCCTGCCTAACTCATTTCAGTGAAGAACACTTTCACTCCAGTTTCTAGGTGGGACACTTTTATCCAGAAAATGTCCCCACTCTATTTTTTACAAATATGCAGCATTTGGGGCCCAGTTGTCATTTTCAGGCAAAGTAACCAACAGGTCTTTAAAGTGGAAAGGGGGAAAGACAGAGGAGAAAGAGGAAAGGATGTCAGTGTGCATATGAAATGCTTCCGCCGCATCTCAATCCTGAGAACAGGATCTGCTGTTACTTCTCTCCAGCTCCAGGAGCATAAGCCTCTTGTCTTCTGCTGCCTTTAAAGTTGCTTCCGTCCATTGACCAGAGGTGGTTTTATGGTGAAGCTAACAGCTTAAGCCTTAGGACGCATCATTTGGCATTTGGTCCCTTCCAAAGATTATGCCAAATTTTCTATTTGCAATTTGTATCCTTTTTACTAGAGAGTCCATAAAAATGGTATAAGCTTCATGCCCTACAAGACCTGGGATAGTGAGGGGGTCATGGCTCTAGGAATCCCAGAATTGAGCCCTGCTCTTCCACCCAACCATTTGGGCCCCAGTGTCCTCATCTTAAAAAGAGGGGCTTCAAGAGATATAAATATGCTTAAAGAAAAAAAAGAGGGGCTAACAAGACTGTCTTGTCTGAAGTTCCCTTTTCCTTCCTCCTCAGCTGCATTCATTTTTCTACATCTACTAATAAAGCAATATGCTATTGCCTGGCACATGGCTGCTGAGGCTCACATAGCTTTTTAAAGATGCTAAAACAGCCCTGAAAAATGCATAGTAAAAATAAAAGTCAGTTCTTAACCATACACTGGCTAATGAGCACTCAGAAAATATGAGCCAAGCTTTTGCAATGAAGCCTGACACCCATACTCAAAATTGGATATGTCAGGGTCAACTCAGGGCTGTGTTCTGGGGCCAGTAGCCTTGCTTCTAACCTGGTTCTGCCTTCTAACCTTGCTCTGGGCAAGTCACTCAATATTTACGTCCTCCTGGACCCACTATTGCTGGAACTCAAGTCTCTGGGCTTGCTTCTTGACACGACAAGCAAATGGACTAGGCCAGAAGATCTCTGAGGACTCCTCCATGTCTTGATTGTTTGGTTCTATTTCTATCTACCTCTCTTGCCAGTGCCACTTCTCTATTCACCATTGCCCCAAAACTTGACCAGGCTCTATCTTACCACACCAAGCTAACTCAGGTAAGCCATCTAATTGAAGAGGAAAAGACAGAGAAAAAGTGTGTATTAGTCCGTACGTGCATTGCTATAAAGAAATACTTGAGACTGGGTAATTTATAAAGAAAAGAGGTTTAATTGGCTTATGGTTCCACAGGCTGTACGGGAAGCATAGCAGCTTCTGCTTCCAGGGAGGCCTCAGGAAACTTTCAATCATGGTGGAAGGCAAAGGCGAGGCAGGCATCTTATGTCACCAGAGCAGGAGCAAGAGGTCCTGGGAGGTGCTGCACACTTTTAAACAACCAGATTTCATGAGAACTCACTCACTCACTATCAGAACAGCATCGAGGGAATGGTGCTAAACCATTGGTGAGAAACCACCCCCAGGATGGAATCATCTCCCACCAGGCCCTACCTCCAACACTGGGAATTACAATTAAACATAAGATTTGGTGGGGACACAGATACAAACCATGAGAGAGCAAGAGAGGAGAGGACACAGAAGGGAAAGAGCTGGGACGCTGTACAAGAAGACGGAGCAGAGTCAGAACCCAGGCAGGTCTCAGCGACCTGGAAACTCCTCCTCCTGTGCTTGGGCCAGTCACAATGGTTCTGACGGGGAGCCTGCTCCCACGGCCTGCAGCGGGTTTTTTCTAGAATAATTAGCCAGACTTTGGCCTGCAGACCTCCTAGAAAAGGGTCCACATGGACCCACTAGTGCTACACTTCAAGTCTCTGTGGTAGAGCAGAATGCAGAAAAGCATGAATCCAGTGTACTAGTTATATTGGTTTTTGGTGACTTATTCTCAGGCCAGCTTCCCTTTTAAGTTCCTGTTGAGACCCTCCAACCCTGAGAGAAGAAAGACAAAAGCCTCAGGCTAGCTGGAGGCACTTCTTATTCCATAAGAACTAGGAGATTGCTGTTGGTTTTGTACTTGTTTTAGTATATCCAGCAGGAACTGGGGATCCTGGCAAGAACTGTCATTCAATAAACACCTGGTAAATGAAACCGAGTTTTCTCCCTATTCCCAACGCTAAGAGCATGAGATTCTGCAGGACTTCAGACCTCCACACAGCTTGTCAGCTTGCCATCTGTTTTTGTCTCAGGCTACCTGCTTTCTCCTGCCAACGCAGTCTTCCTGAAACACCCAGATCGTCACAGTCCTGTCTGTCCAGTACCTGGCACAGACAAGCACCCAATCATGGCTCATTAGCCTTCTGTTCACCTCCCTCTGCACTGGCTGTTTCTTTCTTAGTTTTCAAGCCCCAAGTTTCACAGCCTACTCCGCTGGGCTTCTGTGTGCGATCGGCTTCATCCAATCATCAAATGAGCATTTTACTTAGTGCTTGTCATGAGAGAGGCACTGGCCCAGACCCTTCCACATATGGCATCTCCTTTAATCTCATAAAAACCCTGAGAATCAGGTCCACTCACCCCATCACATAGTTGTGGAAATAGACTGGGAGCCTGTGGGTAACTTGCCCAAGGGCCCAGCCTATCCAGCAGCACAGTCAGAATGGGAAACCCAGAACCCAGGTTTGAGTCTACCACCAGAGCACACAAAGTGCCTCCAGACAGAGGCCCCTGGAACAAGGCTTGGCCTGCCAGAAGTTCGGTGGGTCTCCAAACACACACTCACATTCCCAAACCACTCCAGACTCACCCAGGCCTAGAAAGCACACATCATCCTCAATAGACTGCCCACCCAGCAGGTTGTCTGGAACAATGTCCCACATTCTGGTGTTGGCCCAAGGTATGATTTTGGGTTTGAGACTCCTGCCTTATGTCTTCTGCCTGACTCAGCTGTGCTGAGTCATGCATTGATTTGCCAATGGATCCTTCTGCTCATTTATACCACTACCCCCTGGATTAAATACATACTCCCCTTAGTTTAATTATTAGCCATTTATATAATATAAGCTGAATGCTGACCAGGAACCAAGCACTATACCAAATATTTACACAAATTATCTCTTTTAATTGTCTTCATTCTCTATGGTAGTTTCAATCACTGGGCAGTCATTTTGTAGGTGAGGAAACGGAGGCTTAGTGAGGTTACGAAACTTGTTCAAGGTCACAAAGTATTAGAGCCAGGACTTGACCCAGGCAGCACATGCACCCTCGACCACCACACCATTAACACTCAGATCTACAGCTCCTTCCCAGCTGGTTCACTTATTACTGACCAATCTACACACACACACACACACACACACACACACACACACACACACACAGAGAGAGAGAGAGAGAGAGAGAGAGAGAGAGAGCTACCCTATCTGGTCCTAAAATGATTAAAGCCAAACCAAGAGTCCATTCATTCACCCTCCACCTAACTTCCAAGTGTCCCCACCCTTGCCAAACTTCCTGTGAGCCACTTTCTAATCACCGTGACCAAGAGAAGAGCAGGTCAAGACTGAAGGTGGCATGACACCCACTAGCCTGTCTTCCCACTGGGCACTGCCTCCTAATCTTGTGTTCTGCAGGCCCCAAAGCTCCTAGCAGAATTTCTGATCCCCAAGACTGGAATAAAATTGTTCAAAGGTTCCCAGGAAATTTCTTGAGGGCTAGCCACTCCTAGAGTTCAGCTTCCAGCATTTTAGCCACCTAACTTACTCTCTGTTCCCACGCAGAGGTCCTTAATTTGCCATCTGGGTGGCTTTGCTTATACCATTTGGAGCAGGAGGCACATAGCAAAAAGGATGAAAGCTTGGGACTTGGCATCAAACATGCCTGGCTTTACAGTGCTACAGTTATTCTTGTGTCAAACCAAAATAATCATATCAACTTCAGAATGTTGTAGTGGAGATAAATGAGGTAATGCATATTAAGTGCTCAGTATACAGTAAGTGCCCACTAATTGGTAGCTATTATCATTTTCTCACCCTCCCACCTGGAATATGCTTCCCAAGTCCACCATATGTTCCACTTCCACCATTACTTTAAGACTTAATGCAAATGGCAACTCACCCAATTCCTAGCCAGGTAAGTTCAGTTCAGTAGAACCAACACTGATGGGGCAACTTCTATACACAACACACCATGCCAGGTATTGGGGATACAAAAATAAATAAGACATGCCCCTGAATTTAAGTTCACAGCTTTAAGGGAGACAGAAAAGAAGCAGCTCATTTCAATGCTACATGGTAAGTGCAGTGACACAGGATGCTGTGGAACAGAAGGGGTGAGTTAACCATCACGGAGGGCCCTGGCGGCCAAGATGAGGAGTCTGAGCTGAATTCTGAAGGCAGTGAGAAGCTATTGAAGGAATTTAAGCAGAGGGGTCAAATGCACAGATCTATGCTTCATAAAAGCATCACTTTAGTAGCAATGTGGAAAAAGAACTTAGGAGAGTATGAATCATCCAATCAAGAAATGGTACCTTAACAAGACAGTGCAGGGGAGGGAGAGAGAAAGAAAGGATGGATTTCTAAATCATGAACACCAAAGGCCTTAAAATTGGGCATTGGGCCATGTCCAATCCTTCGATGTTTAGCTATTAAGGGAGAAGGAGGCAACACAGAGGTCATTGTATCCATCACATTTTAGAAATCAACTCTCTCTTAGGGCACTTATGACAATTTAACTTGCATTGTGGTTTTCTGTTGTTTGTTCATGTGATCAATCAACTAAAATTTACTGTCCACTTAAATACCAATTTAAATACTTAAATACCACTTAAATACTTGGGTGAAGGTTTCAGTGACAAATTGTTGATAAGAAGCATCAGCAAAGATCAAGGGAAAGATATAAGCTCTGGGGAATGGTGTGGTTCAGCTGGAAGGTGTGGCAGGAAGAAGAAGATGTGGGGAACTCGACTTGAGACTCAGGTGGGGTCAGACTGTATAGGGCTGAGGCTGAAGAGTTTGAGCCCTGAGTGGTGCACATGAGGAGACACTGAAGGTTTTAAACAGGGGAGAGAGGAACAGATGCCATCACAGGGGAGATCTCAGAATGTCTTATTTGTCTCTCCTTTGGGAATTCCTGGGCCTCACATTTTCTGTCTGGGTTTCTTGTTCATTGTTGATTCTCTCCCCTCTGATGGGGCTTGTCCCCCTGTTACAAGGCTGGGAAACCCTCCTGCCACTCTCTAGAAGCAGGAAAGAAACCCAAGGGATGGTGAAAACTTCATGTTGAGTGATCATGGATGGCAAAGACCCTGGGTGCACATAGTTTCTGGATAAACACTTTAGTATGGTTTATTATTATTATTATTTCTTAAGGGATCAGCTCTCCATTTCTGGGTAGAGCCACTTCAATTCCATATCTACAGAATGCATGTAACTAATGATCAGCAGGGAGAAGATAAAGAAAAAAGAAGAAAAAAAAATAGCAAACACCAGGGCATTCAGAAATCCTTTTGGCTTCAGAACATAAGAGTTTTTTCAGAAATAAATTTACCTTCTTACATTGGTTTGATTCAGAATTAAAATGAGTTCATATTATCTGAGTCCTCACTGTGACTGTCTGTGGAAGACCTCTCAGGATGGAGTTTGGAGTTGTGGGGGATCCCAGGATTCAAAATCCACCACAAATAATGCCAAAGGTTTTCTGTATATGAACAGTTAATAATGGCTATAATATTTTGGCTATAATATTTTCTCATTGAACTGGATGACCAAAATAGACTTTGGAGTTAATTACATCTAAAGGGTGCGCTGTAATGTTTGCATCCAGCCCACTGTCTGGGGATCCCCGTGCTCACAGGCCTCCATCACAGACCCTGGCACATCCTGAGCCTACCTGCTGGGCTGCCTCATGGAAGAGCTCCTGCACCTGGGACATCTGGGTCATTCTCCAGCAAGCAGGGATCCTGGTGATCTGGACAGGGAGACTGCTCTGGAAGGTAACAGCATCCTTGGTCAGGCTGGCTTCTCCTCTCCTCTCCCCTTGTTGTCCATCCTTTCTCTCTACTAGAATTGTTCAAACTACCAGGCGAGGCCCTGGCTGAGGAAGAAACCTTGTCTACCTCATCTGGAAACTTGGCCGGGTTACCTTTTTGGTACCCAGGTAGATCCCGCTGGTCCTTCAGTGCCCACCTGTGCTCAAACCTTGCTGCCCTAGAACCTCAGGCACTCCCAGCTCTCTCCTTCCCTGAGCTCCTTAAATACGTGAGGGTCAGAGCCAGCTGCCCTGCTGCCCAGCCCTTGAGGACACAGAGTCACACTCCTCTCCCACCCTCAAGTGCCTCGTGAACCCCTCTCTCCAGGAGGAGGGCATCATGACGCACTAGACCTGGCTGCAGGTGGTGAGTGAATGTAGCTGCGCCCTGAGCAGAGGGGAGAGGGGCCATGAGGAGGCTGTTTTGGGGCCCTTCTGGAGCAGGGCCGGAGAAGGGTAGGAGATTGAAGAGGGTGAGTGAGAAAAGGCTGGACAGGACTAGGGCAGCTCCTCAACCCACCCCCAGGCACCCTCCCCTTCGCGCTGGACCTGGCTTTCCTTGAGGGGAGGAGGGAGTTTGTCCCCTTGATCTGTGTGGCGCCTCTCCCCAGCACAGTGCTGCAAGGTAGACGGGGCTCAGGACCCTTTGGTAGAAGGAGGAAGGGGGAGGAAGAGAGCGAGGGGGAGGGTTAGAGCTGATCTTCCTGGGAAGAAGGCGACTAAGGACAGCAGCCAGCGCTGGCGAGGAGGGAAGGCGCCCGGAGCACTGAGTGGGGGGTTGGGAGAGGAGGGTTAGCCCAGTGGGAAGCTGGGAAGGCTGGGGGACTTGGTGGGCTGCAGTCCTGCCAAAAGCCGGGTGACAGGTAGGGAGCCAGAGCACCCGGGTGTCCCCGGCTGCCCGCGCCGCACAGAGCAAGGGACCCCAGGCCTCCGCTCGCCCTTCCCGCCGCCCCGCGGCCTCCGCAGGCCGCCCCGCAGGCCTCCGCCCACATTCACCTGGCTCCTCCGCGGAGCCCCTACCCTCACGTTTGGGCCACGCTGGGACCCGGGCCCCTTGGCACCCCACGCAGACGCGGACCCGCACCCCAAGTACTGGGGCCAGGCCCGTGTGCCGGCGCGCGGGTGACCGGCGGTAGGAGAGGATCCACCTGGGCGGGGAGGTGGGGGCAAAGGTGACCCCAGGCCTGGCTCCTAACTGCGGGCCGGGGAGAGGAACTGTCCCGAGACCACCCTCTCCACCCCCCACAGCCCTTCCGCCCTCACCTGCTCCTGGGACAGCCAGCTCCCAGCGCCCGGCCCGCCCGGTCCCCGCCCCGCCGCCACGTGGCTGCCCCGGCTCGGCTGCGCGGGTCCCAGCTGTCCCGTCCCGGCGGGGGCACCCCTGCCACGCCAGCACCGGGAGTCTCGGGCCCAGGTGGCGAGGAGGCGCTGCAGAGGCTTTCCCTCCGCAAGGGTCGGGCCTTCGCGCCTACCTGGACAAGAACATTCACCTGGGTAGGGGCAGGGCTGGGGGAAAACAGGGAGTAGGGGCCGCAAGCCCACAGGCTCGAAGTGACCAGCCACTGCCTCTCCCCCCTCGACAGTGCAACCAGCGGAAATGCCCAGCCCCGGGACCAGGGGACTAGGGACAGGAGCCTACCCTGTGCGGCTCTGAGGAGTGGCTGTGAGCACTGCACGCAGGACTGAGAAAGCCCGGGATAAGCCCGGAGTGCAGGGAAACCCGCAGCCCCCTGGGCAGATGTGGAGAAGAATCTGGACAAGCTGACCGAGACCCCGGTACCGGGGGTCTCCGTGTGTGCCTGGCTGCGTGATCAGGTGACCCCAGACTCTGAGGGCGTGGAACTGCTTTTGCCAGGAAAGCGCTCTGGGCATGCTGTGTAGGGGTGAATTACCCTTACCCCCTTCACCAAGACCCAGAACTGCCTTTCCTAGGGGTGAAGTAAGGTTTCCAGGGCCTCATGTTGCAGAAAAAAAGAACCCTAAATTAACATACAGAGAGATTAAATTATCTCCATTCCCAATCTGGCATATTTCCTAAACCTTAAATAATTTGAGAGGCTTCCATGTGGGCTTCTGAGAAACAGGAGGGCAGCTGGGAGAACTTCCCACGCCCACAAGCCTTTGTGTGAAAATCCCTAAAAATAGAGGTTGTTCTTCTAAAAACAAAAGGGAAGGCTAAGCCATGGGAACACTGACAGAACCTAACCTCTCGCTTCTGCTCCAGCAAAGACGCGTGTGAAGATATAGAACATCATATTTGCCATTTTTACCATTTTAACTGTACAGTTCAGTGGTATTAATCACACACAATATTGTCCAACCATCATCGCTATTTCCAAAACTTTCATCGTCCCCAATAGACACTCTGTACCCACTAAGTACTAACTCCCCGTTTCGTCTACCCTCAGAGGTAACTCCCCTCATCTACTTCCCGTCTCTATGGATTTACCTATTTTGTGTATTTCATGTAAGTAGAATCATACAATACTTGTCCTTTTGTGTCTGGCTTACTTCACTCAGCATAATGTCCTCAAGGTTCATCCATGTTGTAGCATGTGTCAGAATTTCATTCCCAGCAAAGAAATTTTTAATAACCCATCTCTGCCAGAAAAAAAGACCCCCCAAAAGTTACAGATTAACCATCTGTGAACAAAGGATGAATGGGCGGACAGGCTGACACAGTCACGTTACTGGAATCCATTATGCAGTCACCGCTTGGCATCTGCAGGAAATTAGTTCCAGGCCCCCTGACCAATACCAAAATGCGTAGATGCTTAAGTCCCTGATATAAAGTGATGTAGTATTTGCATTTAACCTACACACATCCTCCCACATACTTTAAGTCATCTCCAGATTACGTATAATACCTAATTCAAGGCCAGGCACAGTAGCTCACACCTGTAATTCCAGCACTTTGGAATTACAAAAATTCCAAATCTCCAGGCCAAGGTGAGAGGATCACGTGAGCCCAGGAATTCAAGACCAGCTTGGGCAACACGGTGAGAGCCTATTCTTTTCCCCACAAAAGAAATTTTAAAAATTAGCTGGGCATGGTGGTGCATGCCTGTAGTCCCACCTACTTGGGAGGCTGAGGTGGGAGGATTGCCTGAGCCCAGGAGGTTGAGGCTCTAGTGAGCCATGATCATACCACTACATTAAAGCCTGAGTGACAGAGTGAGATCCTGTCTTAAAAAAAAAACAAACAAACAATCAAACAAAAAAAAAAAACTATGTAAATTGTTGTTATACTGTATTGTTTAGGGAATAATGACAAGAAGAAAACTTTGTACATGCTCAGTACAGCTGCAACCATGCTTTTTTTTTTAACCAAATATTTTTGACCTGCCTTGGTCAAATCCACAGATATGAAGGGCTGACTGTATTTCCACAGATTCATCAGAATGATCAGCAGAGTCATTTTTCTTATTCACTTTTGGTGGGTCATACATGACACTGCTCTTTTTTTTTTTTTTTTGCCTCAAGCTGGTTTCCTGTTTGCTGTCACCTTCCGATGAGTCTCCCTCTAAGTGTCAACATGAATTTTGAAGAATCTGCATTCAATTCCATATCAGCCTGAGTTAAAAACTTTAGAATGGGGAATCCACCTCTCGCTTTATAACCACCTACTTCCTGTCACTCGTCATTTTCTAAATAAATGAGAAGTTCCCTTCAAAGCTTATAAGCATCTTCTAAACCCAGAAACAAATATAGTTGTTTATTTTCTTCATGTTAAGGCTACAGAAACCTGCCCTTTGCAAAGAAAAATATATATATATCCTGCTTAATGTAGATTTTTCTTATAACAATAACACTAACCTTAAAAAAACAAAAAAACAAAAACAAAAACAAAAAACCTCATGTTGAAAAATAGTATCCTGGCTGGGCGAGGTGGCTTGCACCTGTAATCCCAGAGTTTTGGGAGGCTGAGGCAGGTGGATCATCTGAGGTCAGGAGTTCGAGACCAGCCTGGCCAACATGGTGAAAAACTGTCTCTACTAAAAATACCAAATTTAGCCAGGTGTGATGGTAGGCACCTGTGATTCGGGAGGCTGAAACAGGAGAATTGCTTGAACCTGGGAGGTAGAGGTTGCAGTGAGCTGAGATCATGCCACTGCACTCCAGCCTGGGCGACAGAGTAAGACTCTGTCAAAAAAAAAAAAAAAAAAGAGAGAGAGAGAGATAGTATCCTGCATATCCTTTAAACATTGCCATTTTGAAGATACTGCCCTACATGAACTAGGAAAAGCATGTTTGTTGCATCATTACTTTGTAATACTTTAAACAATGAGAACAACCTAAATGTCCATCAACAGAAGACTGCTTAGATAAACGGTACAGCCATACTATGACAGCTGGCATTAGAAATAATTAGGTGTTTCTGGGCTGGGTGCAGTGGCTCACGCCTATAATCCTAGCACTTTGAGAGGCTGAGGCCGGCGGATCACCTGAGGTCAGGAGTTTGAGACCAGCCTGGCTAACATTTGTTTTTTTTTTTTTTTTTTTTTTGAGACAGAGCCTCGCCCTGTCGCTCTGGATGGAGTGCAATGGCATGATCTCGGCTCACTGCAACCTCTGCCTCCTGGGTTCCAACGATTCTCCTGCTTCAGCCTCCCGAATAGCTGGGATTACAGGCGCCTGCCACCATGTCCAGCTAATTTTTGTATTTTTAGTAGAGACGGGGTTTCACCATGTTGGCCAGGCTGGTCTCGAACTCCTGACTTCGTGATCCGCCCCCTCAACCTCCCAAAGTGCTGGGATTACAGGCATGAGCCACTGTGCCCAGCTGCCTGGCCAACATTTCTCATAAAAATACAAAAAATAAAAACCCCATTTCCTTTTTTTTTTTTTTTTTTTTTTTGAGACGGAATCTCACTCTGTTGCCAGGCTGGAGTACAGTGGCATGATCTTGGCTCACCACAACCTCTGCCTGCCAGGTTCAAGTGATTCTCCTGCCTCAGCCTCCCGAGTAGCTGGGATTACAAGCGCCAGCCACCACACCTGGCTAATTTTTGTATTTTTAGTAGAGACAGGGTTTCATCGTGTTGGCCAGGCTCGTCTCGAACTCCTGACTTCAGGTGATCCACCTGCCTCGTCCTAAAAACCTCATTTCTAATAAAAATACAAAACAAATTAGCTAGGTATCATGGCGTGTGCCTGTAACCCCAGCTACTTGGGAGGCTGAGGCACAAGAATTGCTTGAACCTGGGAGGCGGAAGTTGCAGTGGGCTGAGATGGTGCCACTGCACTCCAGCCTGGGTGGCAGAGTGAGACTCCATCTCAAAAAAAAAAAAAAAGAAGCAAAGAATTAAATGTTTCTATACATGCTATCATGGAACTCTGTTCATCACATAATAATGAATAAACACAGCAAGTCGAAGAATAATGTATAGTGTTGTTTTAAAAAGCAGTGTACACACACACACACACACACACACACACACACACACACACACACACATATATGTGGTTTGTATAGAAAAATATGGCCGGGCGCGGTGGCTCATGTCTGTAATCCCAGCACTTTGGGAGGCTGAGGCGGTTGGATTACCTGAGGTCGGGAGTTCAAGACCAGCCTGACCAACATGGAAAAACTCCGTCTTTACTAAAAATACAAAAACATTAGCCGGGCATGGTGGCACATGCCTGTAATTCCAGCTACTCTGGAGGCTGAGGCAGGAGAATCGCTTGAACCAGGGAGGCGGAGGTTGCGGTGAGCCGAGATTGCACCATTGCACTCCAGCCTGGGCAACAAGAACAAAACTCCATCTCAAAAAACAAAAAAAGAAAGAAAGAAAGAAAAGAAAAAAAAATACACATCAATCTGTTAATAGTGGTTATCTCCAGGGAGGGATTGAGATAGTGAGTATAGACTTTGGTGTATAAATTCTGAATTTTTGTTGTTGTTGTTCTGGTAGAGACAGGGTCTCTGTTGCCCAGGCTGGTCTCAGGCAATTCTCCTGCCTCAGCCTCCCAAAGTGCTGGGATTATAGGCATGAGCCGCCAAACCAGTCAATTCTGGATTTTTATTTATTTATTTTTTCTTGCAACAAGCATACGTTACTTTGGAATCTGGAAGGGGTGGGGTGGGAGATGAATAAGAAAATTAAAAAACAAACAATGTGGGGTAGATTGTATTTCCCATATGCTCTTCCTACAATATGATGTTGGGATTCCTTCAAAAGGAGTTAGGGTCTATGTTACCTCCCACTGAGCCTGAGTGGACCTTTTTAAGTGCCCCAGCCAACAGGAGAAATGGCAGAAATGACACTACATGACTTTGTGGGCTAGGTCCTAAAGGCAATACGGAGCCTGGCTTCCTCACTGTCAGTGCACTTACCCTTGGGATTCAGCCACCATGTTGTGAGGAAGCCACATGGAGAGGCCACATGTTGGTGTTCCAGCCAATAGCCAGTGTCAACCACTGGACATGTGAGTGAAACAAGCCTGCAGATGATTCCAGCCGCCCGCGGAGGCTCCAGGCATTGTAGAGCAAAGACAAGCTGTGCTTGCTGGGCTCTGTCTGAATTCCTGACTCACAGAACCCATAAGAGAAAATAAATCATTGTTGTTGTTGTAAGCCACTAAGGTTTGGGGTAATCTGTTACGCAGTGATAGTGAATACCTAGAGCATCCAACCAAGGTTAAAAAAAAAACATTTTATTTCCCTTCAAAGTATTTCTATTTATTTCATTGTTTGAATTCACTGTTTTTGAAGCCCGGTTATATATATAAAAAGAATAATATTGCTATTAAAACTCACTTTTTTTTTTGAGACGGAGTTTCGCTTTTGTTGCCCAGGCTGGAGTGCAATGGCACAATCTTGGCTCATGGCAACCTCCACCTCCTGGGTTCAAGTGATTCCCCTGCCTCAGCCTCCCGAGTAGCTGGAATTACAGGCATGCACCACCATGCCCAGGTGATCTTGTATTTTTAGTAAAGATGGGGTTTCACCATGTTGGCCAGGCTGGTCTTGAACTCCCGAGCTCAGGTGATCCACCTGCCTGAGCTAGGTGAGACACACAAAGCAATAGGCTCACTACTGTGTGCTTCACCTTGACCTTGAGTTGTTACTGAATAGAAGAAAAGGTGAATTTAAGGCCGGGTGTGGTGGCTTAGGCCTGTAATCCCAGCACTTCGAGAGGCCAGATGCTCCCTCACCTCTTTCCTTCCAGTGGCTGGCACTGAGAAATGCCATCTGTGTGAAGGCTGGCAACAAAATCATAACCTGAAAGATAGCGTCATTTGTCAGAAAGTCTGAACCCTGGAGGGAGATCAGGGCTCCGAAAAGGTCAACCAGAATAGGAATGGGAAAGCAGGTTGAAAACATTAAGTCATGATGTGAATAGGTATGTACACAAAAACATATCTATCTCACAGCCTAGGCCCTGGAACCACAGTCAAAAGTGCCTCGAGAGGTGGCTCACCTAGTGTGGTGCACATTTTACAATCACCTAGGGGTGGTTTCAGAAAATACCAATACCTGGGGGACCCACCTCCAGATATTCTGACTTAATTACTTAATTGGTCTGGGGTGGGGCCTAGAAATCAGCATTTTCTTTAAACTTCTCAGATGATTCTAATGCTCAGCCAAGGTTTGAAAATCATGAGATTTCTAGCCCGATAGTATTTTTTCCCCTCTTCAAAACACCTGAGAGATGGAATACATCTTGTTGGCAGTGGTGTCTTATTGTAGTTACAATTTTCAATGACAGGGAGAAGGTGGATATATCACTAAGGCAGCACAAGTAATTTACTATTTAAAGAGAGTAATTATATAAACTGCATATATATGTTTTAGTTGGTCATTGTGATGCACCTCCCTGGGGCAAGCCTGCGTATTTAAAAAAATCACAGGAATTCTGCACACACTCACAAGGGTTTGCCGGCTCTGAGGGTGGAGCCGAGATTGGAACATAGGTCTCATTCCAATGCCAGGCTCTCTCCTCTGCACAATGCAACCTCTTTAATCCAGGTGAAGAGATAAAACAGAAAAAAGTTTTCCTTCTTCATGGACTTTGACATGCAATTCCAAGAGCCCCAGGTCCAAGAGGGTGTCCTGCCAGAGGGCCACCCAGCATTCCGGGGAGCTGGGAGGGGGTGACTCGGGAGATGCAGGCCGGAACAAAGCACAAGCCCTCACACAGGCTGAGAGAGCCTGGCTCCCAGGGAAGTTGGGGCAGGCCAGTCTCCTCCTCTGGCTTCCCTGGTAAGACTGAGTGGAGAGGGAAGGGCCGCAGCTTTCCTGGTGTCGGGTGTTCAGCTCCTGTTGGACAGGTCTCTCCTCCAGGATCTAGGCTATTTGTTGATTCTGGGGGTTTGCCCTGACAAGAGAAAGTCATTCTGCCTCTATCAGCCACCTGGCATCTGTCATGGGCTGGGACCTGGTGGGAGCACAAAACAAAATGTAGATGCAGAAAGGAGCCAGAGAAACAGGGTCCAGATTATTTTATGATGACAGTGGCAGCCTCACTAGACTGTGACAACAAAGTGATTAGCATTAGCTTTTCCTCAAATACCATCTACGGCAGACCCAGTGACAGGCTGTCTAGAGTGTAGATGAGAGAAGTCAGGTCTGGATCTGAGACCTGATTCTCCCTCTTCACTCTATGACCTTGCCCACGGTCTCCAATGTGTCTAAGCTTCCATTTTCTTACTTGTAGCATGGAGTTAATGATTAAGACCTGCCGAGCCTACCTGGCAGAGTGGTTATGAACATTCTAGAATTTTACTGGGGACTGAAATCCAGATCAGCTATCTCGTTTTCACAATCCACTATTTTCCCTCCCATTTTGAAAATCACATGTCCAGTTTTCTGGTCTTACGGCAGTTATCCAGAGCCTCAAACTCCCTGCGAGTGATTCTTCTGCCGGACCGGCAAGCTTCTCTTTCCATCCTTGGATATAACTCAGGGGCCTGCATCCCCTCCTTCAACCACATTCACCAAACATCTGTTGCTCACCGACTGTGGCCAACACAGAACACAGAGTGGGAAGCAAGACCGCTCCAGGCAGGCGGGCAAGACAGACTTTCATCAAATGCTCACACATTACAAACAGCCGTCTAGAGGCTAGAGAAACTGTACAGAGTGATGAGAGAGATTCTGAAATGGTTAATGTGACCTAATCAGGAAAATCAGGATACGCTTTTCTGGGAAAGTGATGCTAGGGCTGAAATCCAAGGGATGTATGGGGTGGGAGTAGGAGGTTTAATGGAGTGTAGAGAGAAAATAGTGCCTTTGTAGCCCAAGAGGACATGACCAAGTATCCGAAGCTGAAAGCAGTCCAGTGGT